>NW_018654723.1:0-78609 GCF_000001405.40 Homo sapiens
ACACTGGGGAGAAACCTTTCGAGTGTCCGGAATGTGGAAAAGCTTTCACCCACCAGTCAAACCTCATTGTACACCAGAGAGCACATATGGAGAAGAAGCCCTATGAGTGCAGTGAATGTGGAAAGACATTTGCCCAAAAGTTTGAACTCACCACACACCAGAGAATTCATACAGGAGAGCGACCCTATGAGTGTAACGAATGTGCAAAAACCTTCTTTAAGAAGTCAAACCTTATCATACATCAGAAGATTCACACGGGGGAGAAACGCTATGAGTGCAGTGAATGTGGAAAATCCTTTATCCAGAACTCACAGCTCATCATACACATGAGAACTCATACAGGAGAGAAACCCTATGAATGTACTGAGTGCGGCAAAACTTTCAGCCAGAGGTCAACTCTTAGATTACACTTGCGAATCCACACAGGAGAGAAACCATATGAGTGTTCCGAATGTGGGAAGGCCTTTAGCAGGAAGTCCCGACTCAGTGTCCATCAGAGAGTTCACATCGGGGAGAAACCCTGAAACTCCAGCCAGGTCTTACTGTGGAAAACTCCTGCCAGAACTCTTCAAGCGGGTGAAAAACCTCATGACAGTATTGAGGGAACATGGGAATTCATACTGAGATGCAATCTCTCAACTCAAAAATGTATTAAAAATAGGATCCCATGAGAACATTATACTGGAAGTTACATGTGATACCCAGCTAAAGAATACATATCAGAATATATCCAGTTGTAAATAGCCATACCCAGTTGTACTACAATGAGCTTTTTAAAATCTTGAATGAATTGAGTATTCTAGACAGCAGCATAAGAAATATACAAACAGTATCCTATGAATTTAGTGGTTTTATGTGGATATGCCACAAAACACAAGTGGTATGCTTTAGATCTGCACATGTGAATTTAGCATAATCACTGGGAATTTGAAATTCTTGTCCTCTGTGATAATTAGGACATAACAAGATTTTCCATACTAAACATCACATGTGTTTTTCAGTATCTCTGCAATCCAGTATGCATTCCAAATGAAATGTGTAACATTTAAAGTAGCATGGAACCTACGTCTTTCCCTACTGCTTGCTGGCATATATCAGTTGGTATGAACATTGTTCTTGAGCTGCCTCTTAGGAAACAGAAGACAGTGTTGAAGTTTTCCCTGCTTCTGGTTTGCTGAAGATTTTCTAGAAGCACTATTTACACAAATATGCAAATGTGAAATAACCGATCTATAACGTGAAGGAGGCAGACATGAGCTGTACTACTCAGTATGCACCACAGAATAAGAGTTTGCCGTGTAAAGACAATATCCCCATTCGTCATGCTCTTATTTTCCCGTGGGATATTTGCATACAAATGCATGTCTGTTACCAAAATATTGTGTAACACAGACAGAAACCACCTGTTTTTGTCTTTCCTTGTTTCCCTTAATATTTCATGAATTGTCTAGCAAAAATGGTAGGATGCTTCTGTAGTTCACAAATGTTACATTTCAGAGACTTTAGAGGAAAAATTATTTTAAATAACTGTCAACTGTTTCATTGCTTTTTAAATTTTTCACGTGCATAACCCCCTTTAGAAGTAAATTTTTACACTATTTTGTTGTTTAAAGGAGGCATTTCTACTTCCTTGAGTTTTGCTGTTGCCAACCTAAAACATTTCCCTTTGGAACATGAGTTATAAGTTATTACTTTTCCTTTACATGTTTACACTTTTATAAAAATCAGATTTTTCAGTGGTCTCTCCAGATATTAACAAGAATTGTTGTGTAACTCAAAGATTTGCTTTTATAGACTTGATTTCAAATTCTTAAGTTCAGCCTTTCCCTATCAATCACAAATCATGTATTGGAAATTATAAATGGCAACCAAAAACTGGCTTTTAAAAAATATTTTTGGATATCATTGATGTGCTGTCACACTATATATTGAGTGACTTTCTGAACAAATTTATCCAGAACATCCATAGCCCAATAAGCTTTTGTCTAAGTTGTCATCTTACTTACTCACAAAGGAGGGGAAAACGTTATTTTCATAGCTGCTTTTAGAAATGTAAATTGTAACAGCCTCCTTGGACAACATTGTGAGTCTGTTTTAACATTAATATACTCTTACAACCTAGGAATCTCCTGGGAATCTATCCCTAAGGAATAAAAAGCGCCAGCACTTAAGATTATATGTTTACTAATGTATATTGTATTTTTTGGTAAGGACCAAAAAAACAAACAAAAAAAAGACCATCAGTAAGGGAATGGATGAATAAATTGTGGTAAAAACATACCATGGCTGAATGGTATTTCCTTGAAAAGAATGTGTGGGAACAAACTCCAAACTTCTCTAGGTCAAATGAGGAAAGCAAGAGGGGAGAGAGAGAGTGTATGTGTGTGTGTAGCAGTTTTTATAAAATAAAGATAAACCCTTATATATGTGTGTCTTTGTATATGATTTTATGGGCCTGGTGAATAGAATTCCTTCCATTTTTAACCTGTGGACCTCACCAGCTTTATCAGTGAGGGCTTTAGCAGTAAACTGAATTAGCGCCTTATGAAAGGATGACTTGGAGAATGAGAGAAGGATTAAGGGAACAAACAACGGATGGTAAGGAATCCAGAGACCAGCAGTGCCAAGAAGCTGTTGTCTCCCTAGGGACCAAAGGAAGAAATGGTGTTTCAGAGCCCAGTGAGAGCCAAAATGTTGGAAGGTCTCTTTCCTGTAGGAGATAGAAAAATAAAAAGGAAGAGTGTCTCTTAAGTGGATGTTGAAGCTCTACAAAGATGCAGCTACTGTGAGAAACACAGAACTGTCAGGAAAGGGAGCAGAGGGGGAAAAGCCTCAGCTCTTTATTGCTGTCTCCTGAAGATGCCTCCATCAACTGAACCTAATCAGAAGCCCGGGTGATGCCGTCCTCCTGGGATAAAGCAGGGTAGAAAGATGGAGGATGGACCAGGAGGGGAAACAGCACAATCAGCAAATCTCCCATCTCAGTTTCAGCCTTGCTGGTCCGACTGTAATGAGGCTTTCCCAGAAGGACCCTTCTTCCCCTATGGTCATTCCAAGTGGCAACTGTTTGTCTCATGCCTCTTATGCGTTTAGAGGTAAGATGACTGACTCTGAAGCCCAATTTCAGAGGAAATAAAAATTTGGGAGTTGTCACAGGGATAATATTTTAAGCCATAAAGCTAGGTGAGATTACCTAGGAAAAAAAAGTATAAAGAATGTCAAGGACTGAGCCCCGAGCACTCACCCCAGTGTTTGCTGGGCAGGAACTGGCAAATGAAACTGAGAAGGAACCACCAGGGTTAGGGTGAAAACCAGTAGAGGGTGGTATCTGAAGCCAGCTGAAAACACTTATTTTGAAGTAGAAGAGTGGCCACTATATCAAATACTAATAATTTGTATGAAGTTGGATATATGCTGAGATTAACCATCAGTGAGGTCATTTTGAAAAAAACAGTTATAAAGGAGTGGTCAGGGTAAATCTAGGAGGATTCAAGATAAACTTGGAAACAGGAGCTGTGAATAAGGGGCCAAGTGTTAAGGACTGAAAAGTCTGAGATTTTGTCCTACTTGCAAGGTAACAAGTTAAGCTACCAGTTTCATGGATACTGGCAGAAGACATACTGTACTGACCTCGAATACACATTTGCTGGGTGGAGTTACAGGAGGGGAGGTCCAAGTTTAGGGAGCCTGAATCTTAAACAGTGGTCTAGAAGTAAATCTATCAAACCTTTGTCTAGAAGGAAGACATATTATACTGGATGCTAAACAAACTGTTGCTCTGGAGAACGGATTACCTATCTAAGGCTATTCATCCTGAAAACAGCCTGTAACAAAAGCCATCACCATATGTACTTGTAAGATAGTGAGAAACGTGAGAAACCCATGGAGAATTGTCTCCCAACACAGAGAAACGGATGGGTAACTGAAGAGATGGGGGCTTTTGAGGATTTTGGTGTTTTAAAATATTAGAAATTCTAGGATAAATTTATATACTCATGGGAACGATAAGTAGAAAAATTGACGCTGTACGAGAAGAGGAGGAGGAGAATGGACTAGAGCAGAGCCTGAGCAGGTGAAGACACTGGGATCCAGGGTACTAGTGAAGAGGTCAGACGCTGGAGCACCAACCAGGAGGAAGGCAGAGCGTGGGCAGAGAAGATGCTAGAGCTTGTGAGTGTTCTTGTCTGATTGCTTTTATTTCCACTGTTAAACTGAAAACATAGTTATTAGCTGAGAGTGAGGATGGTAGAGGTGGTGTGAGACGTTTGGGGGATAGGGAAGAGTGAAAAAATTAAGGAAATGTACGATACACTAAAGGCCCACTTGAGGTTAGTGGTCATGAGTTTAACATAACATCAATTGTCAGGGTTGTATGTTTTGTTCCAGCCACATTCAGCAGAGTTGGATTTAGCCTGGATTGACTGGTGTGAAATACATGAACCATGGGACTTAAGCTGATTAGGTGAAGAGTCACAACTTCAGAGAGGGAAATCAGCGGGAGTGGTTTCAGCAAGATGGCAGAATAGAACTTTCTAGCACTTGACTCCCTGCAGAAACATCAGTTTGAATAGCTTTCCATGCACAAAATTACCTTCACAAGAGCTAAAGAAACCAAGTAAGAGATCACAGCACCTGGGTATAGTGTAGAAATAAAGGATGCGGCCGGGCGCAGTGGCTCACGCCTATAATCCCAGCACTTTGGCAGGCCAAGGTGGGTGGGTCACCTGAGGTCAGGAATTTGAGACCAGCCTGGCCAACATGGCAAAACCCCGTCTCTACTAAAAATACAAAAATTAGCCGGGCATGGTGGTGCGTGCCTGTAATCCCGCCTACTAGGGGGGCTGAGGTAGGAGGATCGCTTGAACCTGGGAGGCTGAGGTTGCAGTGAGCTTAGATTGTGCCACTGCACTTCAGCCTGGGCAACAGAGCGAGACTCCATCTCAAAAAAAAAAAAAAAAAAAGGATGCATTGAAGAGGGCACGAAGGACAGTGTTACATTATTTTTATTACCTCTTCCCCAACCCCAGGCACCATAGTGTCAACAGAGACACCCTCCATACAGGGGAAAGAGAAGAAAGTGAACACTGGACTTTGCCTCCATCCCAAACACCTTCTCACCTGGGTAAAACTCAGAGCTAGGCAGGCCCCACTGCCCTAGACCCCAGGCCACTACCCACAGAGAACTTCCAGGCCGACCCCACCATGAGGTTGAATCCCATAGCCCCAGGCCAGCACAGCAGACTTGGTCTGCTCACCTCACCTCCAGACCAACCTCAGTGGTCCAGGCTCACCAAGCTTCAGGTCTGGTCCCACAGTCGGGTTCCAGGCCTGCAGATGCAAGGCTTCAGGTCTGTCCTGGGTTCTAGACCAGCCCCGAGCCAGGTCAGCACCCCTGGCCTGAGGCTCCAGGCTGGCCCTTGCCTCACCTCAGTCTACAGGCACTGACATGGTGCCAAGGCCTGCCCAGGTCTACCCTAGCACACTGTACACAGCCCGGGGCCTACCCCAGCACCATGTAAGCCCCCATGGAACAAGGGTTCAGGCCAACCCAAGAGGATACAGTTTCCAGGCTTACCTTCAAGGACCCAAGTTCCAGGGTTACCCCTATGCACCCAATCAACAGGTCCACTCCAGTAGATCCAAGCTTCAGGCCCAGTTCTGTAGACTCAAGCACCAGGTCTGCCCATCTGCTGATGCAGGTACCAGGCCATCCTGGCTGAGGACTCCAGCAGCAAACTCACTTGCAGATCACACCAGATGGCCTCCCCAGAATCTCTGGACAGGTTGACTGGTGAAGAGCTTTCCCAGACAATGGCAGTCTGCAGACTGGAATACTTATTCACTATTTCTTCAAATGCCCAGATACTAACACACTAGAAGGATCAAGAACAATCAGGGAAATATGACCCTCCGAAAAAGGAACAACAAAAAAAGCACCAGTAATGGACCCTAAAGAAATTTAGAAGATTTGGATAATGTATGAGCTGCCTGACATTTCAAAATAATTATTTTAAGGAAGCTCAGCATATTAAATTTTCTTAAGAAAATAGAGAATTTGATTAAATCAAGAAAATGACCGCCGGGCGCAGTGGCTCACACCTGTAATCCCAGCACTTTGGGAGGCCGAGGCGGGTGGATCACAAGGTCAGGAGATGGAGACCATCCTGGCTAACACAGTGAAACCCTGTCCCTACTAAAAATACAAATAATTAGCCAGGCATGGTGTGGGCGCCTGTAGTCCCAGCTACTCGGGAGGCTGAGGCAGGAGAATGGTGTGAACCCTAGAGGCGGAGCTTGCAGTGAGCCAAGATCGTGCCACTGCATTCCAGCCTGGGCAACAGAGCAAGACTCTTGTCTCAAAAAAAAAAAAAAAAAAAAAGAAAATGACCAACATTAGAAACTTAAATTATAAAAATAAAAAATTCTGAAGAATATAATTAATGACATGAAAAATGCAATAGAGAGCAGCAACAACAGAAGTGATCAAGCAGAAGAAAGAATGTGAGCTCAAAGACATTTTATTTCAAAATATCCAGTCAGAGGAGAAAAAAGAATGAATGAAAAGACTGTGGCATTTATGGAATGCCATCAAAAGAACAAATGTTTGACACTCAGAAGTTCAAGAAGGAAAGAGAGACAAAAGGGCAGAAAGGTTAAATAATAGGGCCAGGGTGGGGGTGGTTCATGCTTGTAATCCCAACACTTTGGGAGGCCAAGGCAGGATCATTTGATCCTAAGAGTTCAAGACCAGTCTGAGAAATATAGTGAAACCCCCATCTGTAGAAAACTACAAAAAATTAGCCTGATGTGGTGTTATGAGCCTGTAGTCTCAGCTACTTGGGAGCCTGAAGTGGGAGAATCCCTTGAACCAGGAGGTTGAGGATGCAGTGAGCCATGATCATGCCACTGTATGCCAGCCTGGGTGACAGAGTGAGACCCTGTCTCAAAAACACAACGCAGGAGGGAGGAAGTGGGGAGGGAAGGGAAAAGAGGAATAGGAAGGGGAATAGGGGGTGGAAGCAGGGGAGGAAGGCAGGGAGAAAGGAAGATATAAACTGTACAAATCTGGGAAAATATGTGAATATCCAGGTATAGGAAGGTGAAAGGATTGAATCTGACTGGAGACCTAACAAGACTACAGGAGTACATGTTAAACTGTCAAAGAGAAGATCCTGAAAACAGCAAGAGAAATAAAGCAAATGACTTATGGGAGCTTCAATAAGGCTAGCAGTGGATTTCCAAACAAATCTTACAGGCTATGAAGAGAGTGGGATGACATATTCAAACTGCTGAAGGAAAAAAAAATGCTGACCAAGAATACTGTATCCAGCAAATCTGTCCTGAAATAAAGGAGCAATAAGAACTTTGCTAGACAAACCAAAGCTGAGGAAGTTCATTACCACCAGACCTATCTTTCAAGAAATACTAAAGGGAACTGGGCACGGTGGCTCATGCCTGTTATCCCAGCACTTGTGGGAGGCCAAGGCGGGCAGATAACTTGAGGTCAGGAGTTCAAGACCAGCTTGGCAACATGGTGAAACGCTGTCTCTACTAAAAATACAAAAATTAGCTGTGCATGGTGGTGCATGCCTGTAATCCCAGTTACTTGGGAGGCTGAGACAGGAGAATTGCTTGAACCCAGGAGGTGGAGGTTGCAGTGAGCCAAGATTGTGCTACTGCACTTCAGCCTGGGTGACAGAAAGAAACTTTGTCTCAAAAAAACTAATCAACAAATAATAGCTATAAAATGTTGAGGGATACACACTATAAAAAGATGTAAATTGTGACATTAAAAACATAAAATGTGGAAAGGGGTAGAGAACATGTAGTTTGGTTTACAATCAAAGTTGTTATCTACTTAAAATATCCTATGATAACTATATTTTCTGTAAGCCTTATGCTAACCACAAAGCAAAAAATCTATAGTAGATACACAAAAGATTTTAAAAAAGAAATCAAAGCATACCACCAAAGAAAATCACGTCATTACAAGTAAGAAAGCAAAAGGGAAAGAAAGGAACAAAGGATCTAGGAAAGAAGCAATTAACAAAATGGCAATAGTGGGCCCTTGGCTATCAGTAATTACCTTAAATACAAATGGATTAAATTCCTTGGTTAAAAGAGTGGCTGAGTAAAATTTTTGAAGACCCATTTATATGCTGCCTATAAGAAACTCACTTCACCTTTAAGGTCATATATATACTGAAAGTGAAAGGATGGAAAAAGTATTCCATGGAAATGGAAACCGAAAGAGTAGGGATAGCTATACTTAAATCAGATAAACTAGATTTTAAGTCAAAAATTGTGACACAAAGGTCATTATATGACAAACGTGTCAATTTATCAAGAAGATATACCTCTAAATTTATATACATTCAACATCTGAGCACCTAAATATATAAAGCAAATATTAATAGACCTGAAGGGAGAGAGAGAGACTGTAACATAATATCAGTAGAAGACTTCAATACCCTACTTTCAGCAACAGACAGATCATCCAGACAGAATCAGTAAGGAGATGTAAACTACAGCTTAGACCAAATGGACCTAAGAGACATACACAGAATTTCCATCCAATAGCAGCAGCATACACATTCTTCTCAAGCACACAAGGAACTTCTCTAGGATAGGATGTATATTAGGCCACAAAACAAATCTTAAATTTAAGATTATATCAAGTATTTTTTTCCTACCACAGTGGTATAAAAATAGAAATCAGTAATAGGAAGAATTTTGAAAAATGCACGAATATGTGGAAATTAAACAACATGCTCCTAATCAGTGGGTCAGATAAGAAATTTAAAAACATCTTGAGACAGGCTGGGCGCGGTGGCTCACGCTTGTTATCCCAGCACTTTGGGAGGCTGAGGCGGGTGGATCACGAGGTCAGGAGATAGAGACCATCCTGGCTAACACGGTGAAACTTCATCTCTACTAAAAAATAAAAAAGTACAAAAAATTGCCCGGCGTGCCTGACACATGCCTGTAATCCCAGCTAGTTGGGAGGCTGAGACAGGAGAATTGCTTGAACATGGGAGGCAGAGGTTGTAGTGAGCCAACATCGCGCCACTGCACTCCAGCCTGGGTGACAGAGTGAGACTTGGTCTCCAAAAAAAAAAAAAAAAAAAAAAAAAAAAGTCTTGAGACTAATGAAAACAGAAACACAACATACCAAAATTTATGGGATTCATGCAGTGAGCTGAGATCGCACCACTGCACTCCGGCCTGGGTAACAGAGGGAGACTGCATCTCAAAAAAAAAAAAAAAAAAATTTATAGGATTCACTAAAAGCAGTTCTAAGAGATGTTTATAGCAATAAATGCCTATATCAAAAGAGAACAAATAATGCTATACCTCAAAGAACTAGAAAAAGCAGCCCAAAGTTAGAAGAAAATATCAGAACAGAAATAAATTATTCATGGATTTATTCATTCATTTCTTAGAAAAAGACAACAGGAAAAAAACCTTAAGAATTTTTTAAGATAAAATTGGAAAACTTTTAGGTAGAGTAAGAAAAAAGACAACTCAAAATCAGAAATGAAAGCGGAAGTGTTACAACTGATACCACAGAAATACGAAGGATTAGAATACCATGAACAATTATACATCAACAAATTAGAGAACCTAGAAGAAACGGATAAATTCCTAAACACATACAAACTACCAACACTGAATCATGAAGAAACAGAAAAACCAATAGGCTGGGCGTGGTGACTCACGCCTGCAATCCCAGCACTTTGGGAGGCCGAGGCGGGTGGATTACTTGAGGTCAGGAGTTTGAGACCAGCCTGGGCAAGATGGTGAAACCCCATCACTACTAAAAATACAAAAATTAGCCAGGCGTGGTGGCGGGCAACTGTAATCCCCCCTACTTTGGAGGCTGAGGCAGGAGAATTGCTTGAACCCAGGAGGCAGAGGTTGCAGTGAACCGAGATCGCACACTGCACTCCAGTCTGGGCAATAGAGTGAGACTCGGGTAGGGGGGGTGGGTGGGGAAAAGGCCAGGCACAGTGGCTCATGCCTGTAATCCCAGCACTTTGGGAGGCTGAGGTAGGCGGATTACCTGAGGTCAGGAGTTCAAGACCAGCCTGGCCAACATGACGAAACCCTGTCTCTACCAAAAATACAAAAATTAGCCGGGCATGGTGGCGGGCATCTGTAATCCCAGCTACTTGGGAGACTGAGGCAGGGAGAATCATTTGAACCCGGGAGGCAGAGGTTGCAGTGAGCCAAGATTGTGCCATTGCACTCTAGCCTGGGTGACAGAATGAGACTCCATTTCAAAAACAACATCAACAACAAACTCAGTAAGAGGCTGAATTACAAATCCATCAAAGAAAAGCGCAGGACTTAATGGTGTCAGTACTGAGTTCTACTTAACATTTAAAGAACTAATACCAATTCTTTTCAAACTCATCCAAAAAAATTGAACAAGGGGGAACACCTTCAAACTTATTTTATGAAGCCAGCATTACCCTGATACCAAAGCCAGACAAGGGCACTGGAAGAAAAAAAAAAATTACAGGCCAGTATCCCTGATGAACATAGATGCAAAAACCCTCAACAAAATACCAGCAAACCAAATTCAACAGCACATTGAAAGACAATTCACTATGATCAAGTGGGATCTATCCCAGGGATGTAAGGATGTTTCAACATACACAAGTCTATAAATGTGATCTACCACATTAACAGTATGAAGGACAAAATCTATTCTGATCACCTTAATAGATGCAGAAAAAGCATTTGACAAAACTCAACATCTTTTCATAATAAAAACTCTCAAAATAGATATAGAAAGAATGTACCTCAGCACAAGGCAGGCCATATATGACAAGCCCACAGCTAACATACTTAATAGTGAACAGTTGGAAGCTTTTTATCTGGCTGGGCACAGTGGCTAACACCTGTAATCCCAGTCCCTTGGGAGTCCAAGGCAGGCGGATCACTTGAGGTTAGGAGTTCAATACCAGCCTGGCCAACATGGCGGAACCCTGTCTCTACTAAAAATACAAAAATTAGCCAGGTGTGGTGGTGCAGCCTTGTAATTCCAGCTACTTGGGAGACTGAGGCAGGAGAATTGCTTGAACCTGGGAGGCAGAGGTTGCAGTGAGCCAAGATGGAGCCACTGCACTCCAGCCTGGGCAACAGAGTGAGTCTGTGTCAAAAAAAAAAAAAAAAAAAAAAAGAAAAAAAGAGAAAGCTTTTCATCTACTATCAGGAACAAGACAAGAATGTCCACTCTCACTACTTCTATTCAACACAGTATTGGAAGTCCTAGCCAGAACAGTTAGGCAAGAGAAAAAAATGAGGCTTCCAGACGGGAAAGAAAGAAGGTAAATTGTCCATGTTTGCAGATGCTATGATCTCATATAGAAAACCTTAAAGAGTCCACCAGAAAACTTTCAGGACTAATGAATGAATGAAGTTGCAGGATACAAAAATCAACGTACAAAAATCAGTAGTGTTTTATATAAACAATGACCTATCTATACAAGAAGTCAGTAAGACAATCCCATTTACAATGGCTACACAAAGTTAAATACTTAGGAATAAATTTAACCAAGGAGATGAAAGACTGGTACACCAAAAACTGTAAGACGCAGATAAAAGAAACTGAAGATACAATTAAATGGAAAACTATCCTGTGTTCCTGGATTGGAGGAATATTGTTAAAATGTTCACACTGTCCAAAGCAATCTACAGGTTCAATGCAATGCCTATCAAAATTCCAATTATATTTTCCACAGAGATAGAAAAAACAATCCTAAAACTTGTATGTAACCACAAAAGACCCCAAATACCCAAAGCAGTCTTGAACAAAAAGAACAAAGCTTGAGGCTTCATACTAACTGTATCAGTGCATTCTCACACTGCTATAAAGAACTACCTGACACTGGGCAATTTATGAAAAAAAGTTTAATTGACTCACAGTTCCACAAGCTTAACAAGAAGCATGACTGGGAGGCCTCAGGAAACTTATACTCATGGTGGAAGGCAAAGGGGAAGCAAGCAGCTTCTTCACATGGTAACCGGAGAGCATGCTAGCAAAGGGGGAAGTGCCACACACTTGTAAACCGTTAGATCTCATGAGAACTCACTATCAGGAAAGCAGCAAGGGAGAAATCCACCCCCATGATCCAATCACCTCCCACCAGGCCCCTCCTCCAATTCGACATGACATTTGGGTGGGGACACAAATCCAAACCATATCACTAGTTGAATTCAAAATACACTACAAAGGTATAGTAACCAAACAGCATATTAGCATCAAAACAGACACATAGACCCACGGAATAGAACAGAGCTCCCAGAAATAAATCCACGCATTTACAGTCAACTGATTCTTGACAAAAGGTGCCAAGAACACATAATGGGCAAAGGACAATCTCTTCAGTAAATGCTGGACGTTCACATATAAAATAACGAAATACAGAAAAATAAACTAAAGACTTAAATGTAAGACCTGAAACTGTAAAACGACTAGAAGAAAGCAGGGATCCATGACATCGATCTGGTCAATTTTTTTTTTTTATCTGACTTCAAAAGCACAGGCAACAAAAGCAACAACAGACAAATGAGATTACATCCAACTAAAAAGCTCCTGCACAGAAAAGGAAACAATCAAAAGAGTGAAAAGACAACCTTTGGAATGGGGAGAATTATTTGCAAATCATAGTCTGATAAGGGATATCTAAAATATAAGGAACTCAGACAACTCAATAGCAAGAAAACAAATAACCCAATTAAAGAGCAAAGGACCTAAATAGACACTTCTCAAAAAGAAGACTTACATATGCCTGACAGGTATATGAAAAAATGCTCAGTGTCATTAATTATCAGGGAAACGCAGATTAAAACTACAATGAGGTATCACCTCACACCTTGTTAGAATGGCTATTAGCAAAACAGTGAATAAATATGGACCAAGTGCGGTGGCTCATGCCTATAATCCCAGTACTTTGGGAGGCCGAGGCGGGTGGATCACCTGAGGTCAGGAATTCGAGACCAGCCTGGCTAACATCGTGAAACCCTGTTTCCACTAAAAATAGAAAACATTAGCCGGGCGTGGTGCCCTGCACCTCCTGTAATCCCAGCTCTTGGGAGGCTGAGGCAGGAGAATTGCTTGAACCCGGGAGGCAGAGGTTACAATGAGCCAAGATCACAGGATCGCACTCCAGCTTGGACAACAAGAGCGAAACTCCGTCTCCAAAAAAAAAGTGTGTGTGAGGATGTGGAGAAAAAGGAAGTCTCACAAAGTTGATGAGAATGTAAATTAGTACAGCCATTATGGAAAATACTATGGAAGCTCCTCAATAACTTAAATAGAACTACCATGTGACCCAGCAATTCCACTACTGGGTATATATCCAAAGGAAACGAAATTAGTCTGTCAAAGAGATATCTGCACTTTCATGTTCATTGCAGCATTATTCACAACAGCCAAGATATGAAATCAACCTAACTATCAATGGATGAATGGATAAAGAAGATGTGGTCTACATACACAATGGAATACTACTGAGCTTTAAAGGAGGAAGCTCTGGCCAGGTGCAGTGGCTCATGCCAGTAACCACAGCACTTTGGGAGGCTGAGTCGGGTAGATTGCTGGAGTCCAGGAGTTCAAGACCAGCCTGGCCAACATGACAAAACCCTTTCTCTAAAAATACAAAACAAAAATTAGCCAGGCATGGTGGCACATGCCTGTAGTCCTAGCTACTTGGGAGGCTGAGGCAGCAAGATCATTAGAGCTTTGGATACAAAGGTTGCAGCAAGCCAATATTGCACCATTATACTCCAGCCTGAGTGACAGAGCAAGACCCTGTCTCAAAAAATAAAGGAACTTATTTGCCACAACATGGGTGAACCTAGAGGACTTTATGCTAAGTGAAATAAGCCTGGCATGGAAAGACAAATACCACATGACCTCACTTATATGTGGAATCTAAAAAAGTTGAACTCATAGAAGCAGAGAACAGAATAGTGATTACCAGGGGCTAGGGGTGTGGGAAGGGATAAGAGAAATGTTGGTGAAAAGATACACAATTTCAGTTTAATAGGAGGAATAAATTTAATCTATTGGCCAGGCGCCGTGGCTCAAGCCTGTAATCCCAGCACTTTGGGAGGCCGAGGCGGGCGGATCACGAGGTCAGGAGATTGTGACCATCCTGGCTAACACGGTGAAACCCTGTCTCTACTAAAAATGCAAAAACAAAAATTAGCCGGGCGTGGTGGTGGGCGCCTGTAGTCCCAGCTACTCAGGAGGCTGAGGCAGGAGAATGGCGTGAATCCAGGAGGCAGAGCTTGCACTGAGCCATGATCGTGCCGCTGCACTCCAGCCTGGGCGAGAGAGCAAGACTTTGTCTCAAAAAAAAAAAAAAAAGAGAGATCTATTAAGAGAGGAGGTCTCACTATGTTGCCCAGGCTGGTCTCAAACTCCTGGGCTCAAGCAATTCTCCCACGTCAGCATCCTAAGTAGCTGGGACTACAGGCTGTATCACCGTGCCTGACTGTAATATATTCCGGAAAAATCAATGAGTAGATTTTAAATATTCACACCACAAAAATACATGTAATACATATGTAAATTAGTCTGATTTAGTCATTCTGCAATGTATACATTTGTAAACATCATGTTAGATACAATAAACATACTTTTTTTTTTTTTTTTTTTTTTTTTTTAAGACAGTCTTGCCCTGTCACCCTGGCTGGTGTGCAGTGGTGCAATCTCGGCTCACAGCAACCTCCACCTCCCAGGTTCAAGCAATTCTCCTGCCTCGGCCTCCCAAGTAGCTGGAACTACAAGCGTGCTCCACCATGCTTGGCTAATTTTTGTATTTTTAGTAAAGATGGAATTTTGCCTTGTTGGCCAATCAGGTGATCCACCCACATTGGCCTTCCAAAGTGCTGGGATTACAGGCAATGAGGCACCACACCTGGCCCCAATAAACACAATTTTATAAGTCAGTTTTTAAAAGTTAATGAAAAACAAATCTAAAGAACTTGAGGGGATAAAGGAGTGTGAAAAGTGGTAGACTGAAAAGACTATGTTTCCATGGGGTAGGATTGTTAGGGTACTAGAGAAAATCTGGTTGAGTGAGGAATGCATGAAACATTACAAACAGGTTGCTATTACTAGTAGCAAGATTAATGTGTCCGAGAATAACTGGCTGAAGGAGGGAGGAGTACAGGCTCATTGGAAAAGTGGAGATGAAGAAACTGAAAAGCCAAGTATTAAATCTACATAAGCATTAAAATTATCAATTCAGATGGTAGTGTTAGAGTGGGAACTAAAATTTAAGAGATCCAGGGATCAGAAGATGACTGCTTTAAGTATCACGTGGTACGGTCTGATGGCCTGAGCATCCATGCCATGGGGTGTCAGAGAAGATGAAAGGAGAATGGTCTGGAAGCAGCGAGAAGGACATCTTCCCACCCCCAGGACCAGTGTTAAGGGTGAAGTAGAAAAGTATAGGGAATGTTCATTAATACATAGGAAATTCTGGCCGGGCACGGTGGCTCACGCCTATAATCCTAACACTTTGGAAGGCCGAGGCTGGTCCATCAGTTGAGGTCAGGAGTTCGATACCAGCCTGGCCAACACAGTGAAACTCTGTCTCTACTAAAAAAAAATACAAAAATTAGTCAGGAGTGGTGGTGCATGCTTATAGCCTCAGCTACTGGGGAGGCTGAGGCAGGAGAATCACTAGAACCTGGGAGGCGGAGGCTGCAATGAGCCGAGATTGCACCACCGCACTCCAGCCTAGGGGACAGAGCAAGACTCCATCTCTCTCTCTCTTTTTTTTTTTTTTTTTTTAAAGACAGAGTCTTGCTCTGTCCCCTAGGCTGGAGTGCAGTGGTACAATTTCGGCTCATTGCAGCCTCCGCCTCCCGGGTTCAAGCGATTCTTCTGCCTCAGCCTCCCAAGTAGCTGGAACTACAGGCATGCACCACCACGTCCGGCTAATTTTTGTATTTTTAGTAGAGACGGGGTTTCACCATGTTGTTCAGTCTGTTCTTGAACTCCTGACCTCGTGATCCACCCGCCTCAGCCTCTCAAAGTGCTGGGATTACAGGCATGAGCCACCACGCCCAGCCCAAGACTCCATCTCAAAGAAAAAAAGACATAGGGAATTCTGCCCTAACCTCTGTGGTGAGTTCCAGAGGGCACAGAGGAAGATCTCTAGAAGTTGGGGAGAAGCAAGAGATGGACTCAGAAAGGGATGTAAGTGGAGGAAGTTTAGAGTGGGATCAGGCAGGGGGTGACCCAGGAATCCTGAGCCTCTTATAACTGAGCAAATAAGGACAAAAGCTTTAATGAGATCAGACCTGATAGTCTCAGAAAATGGTGGAGAAGCTGGAGTCTTGGGAGGAGGGAAGGGTAGGCATCTTGCCAAGAGCACCCAGAGTTCTGGGCCCTTCTTCACTCCTGCTAATAGAAATGAGGAAGCCTGGGGAGGTGGGTCTGACTTGGAGCACTTGAGGCTCCTTCTTGATCCTTGCCACGAGGTCATATGAGGAATATTTGAATACCATATGGTTCCTTACATACGGTAGATACCATAGAGCTCCTAAGAGTGAAAGTAGTCAGACTAATTGTGTTGACCTGGAAAAATGTTTGATAGAGTTTTAAAAGCAAGTTGCCAAAAATGTATGTATACACACACAGACAGTTGGCTTTCTGTATCCATGGATTCTGCATCTGAGGATTCAGCCAACCTTGGGTTGAATATTCAGGGAACAAAGAAAAAAATGGATGGTTGCATGTGTATTGAACACACATAGACCTTTTGTCATTATTCCCTAAATATAATGACTATAGAGCATTTAAATTGTATTAGGTATTGTAAGCAGTAGGGATGATTTAAGGTATACTAGAGGGTGTGCATAGATCACAAATACTATACCATTTTATATCAGGGACTTTAGCTTTTGGATTTTGGTATCTGCAGGAGGTCCTGGAACCAGTTCCTCATGGATTATCAAGGGACACATACACATAAATACACATACACACGGAGGGGGAGAAATGAGATGGAGGAAGGAAGATGTGACAACATACAATTGGCTAATCTAGATGAAGAGTGTATGGGTGTTCATTATACAGTCTGTTCTATACAAAATTCTAATTTTCTAATTTTGAATGAAAGAATGTTACAAGATATTATGTATAGCATTTTTTATAGAATATGTATATACATATGGAAGTATGTTATAAACTTAGACAAAAACCAGGAAGTATAACTGCCTGACATGTTCTCCTTGCCCACTGCCCAGATAGAGCCAATTTATCAAGACAGGGCAATTGTAATAGAGAAAGAGTTTAATTCATGCAGAACTGGCTGACCAAGACCGGAGTTTTATTACTCAAATCAGTCTCCCTGAAAATTCGGAGACTCGGGTTTTTTAAGGATAATTTGGTGGGTAGGGGGTCAGGGAGTGGGGTGTGCTGATTGGTTGGGTCTAGAGATGAAATAAGGGGTCAGCCGGGGGCGGTGGCTCACGCCTGTAATCCCAGCACTTTGGGAGGCCAAGGCGGGTGAATCACCTGAGGTCAGGAGTTTGACACCAGCCTGGTCAACATGGTAAAACCCTATCTCTACAAAAACACAAAAATTACCCGGGTGTGGTGGCTTGCACCTTAATCCCAGCTACTCAGGAGGCTGAGGCACGAGAATCGCCTGAACCCAGGAGGTGGAGGGAACAGTGAGCCAGGATCATGCCACTGAACTCCAGCCTGGGCAATAAGAGTGAAACTCCAGCCCGGGCAATAAAAGTGAAACTCCATCTCAAAAAATAAATAAATAAGAGGTCAAAGTGGGTTCTTGCCATCTTCTGTTCCTGGGTGGGATCACAGAACTTATTGAATGACATGACCAGATTACCATTCTGGGTGGCACTAGCTGGTACATCAGAATGCAGGGTCTGAAAGATATGTGAGCACCAATCTTAGATTTTACAATAGTGATGTTATGGGGAGATTTGCAATCTTGTGGCCTCTGGCTACAAGACTCCTAAACCACAATTTCTAACCTCATGGCTAATTTGTTAATCTTACAAAGGCTGTCTAGTCCCCAGGCAAGAAGGGGGTTTGTTTTGCAAAAGGGCTGTTGTCTTTGTTCCAAAGTTAAACTATAAATTCCAGGCCGGGTACGGTGGCTCACACCTGTAATCCCAGTACTTTGGGAGGCCAAAGGGGGCAGATCATGAGGTCAGGAGATTGAGACCATCCTGGCTAACACGGTGAAACCCCATCTCTACTAAAAATACAAAAAAATTAGCCGGGTGTGGTGGCGAGCACCTGTAGTCCCAGCTACTTGGGAGGCTGAGGCAGGAGAATGGCGTGAACCCAGGAGGCGGAGCTAGCAGTGAGCTGAGATCACGTCACTGCACTCCAGCCTGGGTGACAGAGCAAGACTCCATCTCAAAATAAATAAATAAAAATAAAAAATAAATAAACTCCTCCCAAAGCTAGTTCAGCCCATGTCCAGGAATGACCAAGGGCAGCTTGGAGGTTAGGAGCAAGATGGAGTTCGTTAGGTTAGATCCCTTTCATTGTCACGATTTTCTCACTCTTAATTTTTGCAAGGTAGCTTTAGAAGGACTTAGAGCAAGCTGTAACAGCGTTTACCTCTGGGATAAGGACCTTTACTACCAAGCTGGTATGGTTTTAAATAGAGTAGAGCTATAATGGTGGCTTCTACATTGATATATTTTCTAATAAATATTTAGAAGATAAATCAGTATAAAATATTGTACCGTATTAGCCCAGTTTTCAGATAAAGACTCCACACATGTATATGGAAAGTAAGCAACGAGGAAGGGGTCTCCTTTGGGGGAGAACAATTATTCCAAGACATGGCTCATCACAGATAACCTGCTGGCATGTTCCCCAATACCTCACTCCCCACGTAGCCCAGCAGCATGTCGTTCCTGCACAACCCAAGACTTCCCTCTAGCCCCTGTCTGTTTGCAGACAGCCCCTCTGCTGTGCTGCACATTGTACCTTTGCAACATATCTTCGTGCTTTCCCTCTAATAAGTCTGCCTTTTATCCCCCATGGACTGTCTTAGTAAATTCCTTTACCGCCTGCCACACCAGCCGTAGCCAGTTGTACCCGTGACATTTTGATGGCCCATATGGGAAGTGCTCGCGGACTGCTTAGGGAGTCCTCCCCTCCTCTCTCCCTTTCTTCTCCAACTCCAGCCTCTCAGTGGACAGCGCCCAAGCCTGGAGACAACTGAAGGTCCCCAGCCAGGTCTACTCCCTAGTGGACCAGAAGGTCCCGGTGGAGAGATGCCTGACCACCCGACCACCGACCACCGCTGCCTGATTCAGTAAAAGTTTACAGCACCTTTTCAGTTTACAGCTTTCCTTTTCTGTCTTCCCGGGGAAACACTCTAGTATCCCTCTGACAATTCATGCCACTGGCTAGGGCCACTCCTTTGTGTAGCCTGGAGGCCAAGGAGTAAACAGGTTTGGCTACCTTGCTGGGAAGGGAGGAAGGCCCCTCCTATCCTTTCTGGCCAAAAGTTCCAAACCCTACGTGTAGTGCCATTGACAGCAGAAGCTCAACCAGGGCAAACCTACACACACTTTGGGGAACCTGGACCCCCTCTTTCTCACGCTAAATTCTCCTGTGAAGACAGCCAGCCACCCTGCTCTGGACATCTTAAGCCAGGTGATCCCAAACAGCACTGGGACGAATTCAACAGTTTCACCTTCAAATGATGCTGAGGATGGAATATCGGTATCCCCGAGGATGCTGGCTACCTTTACTAGTCTCCCCTGAATGCAGCTGGACATCAGTTTCACCTTGATAGGCTCCCCTCCTCCAACAAGTCCCTTGTCCACCAAGAGCCAACATCCCAGGCCTCACAACCCGGGACAGTGACCCACAGGGTCTCCTGACAGACCAACAGGCATAGGTAGGGTCAACTCTATGCCCCAGGCCAGCAGGAAATAGCTGCAAAATGAAACTGCCACCCCAGTGCCAGAGCTTGGGCATTGTTCAGTTAGAGGGGGAATGTGGAGTCCTGATAAGCTGTGCCAGCAGCAACAGGGAAGGGGTCCCAGGTGAGGGAGAGCAACTGTTCCAAGAGAAGGCTAATCATACAACCTGTGGACACAACATCCCATTTGCTCCGCACACAGCCCCCTCCGGCATGAGCCTGTAAGACGTCCCTCAAGCCCCTGCCTCTTTGCAAGCAGCCCCATCTCTGCTGTGCTGCCCATTGTACTCTTGCAACGTATCTTCCTACTTTTGAGAAAGGGTCTGGTTCTGTCATCCAGGCTGGAGTGCAGTGGCACGACCTCGCCTCACTGCAACCTCTGCCTCCCAGGTTCAAATGATCCCCACCTTAGCTTCCCAAGTAGCTGGGACTGCAGGCACGAGGCACCACTCCTGGCTAATTTTTTAATTTTTGGTAGAGGAGGATTTTTGCCATGTTGCCCAGGCTAGTCTCGAACTCCTGAGCTCAAGCGATCTGCCTGCCTCAGCCTTCTGAAGTGCTGGGATTACAGTTATGAGCCACCGTGCCCAGCCCATACTCTCCCTCTAATAAATCTGCCTTTCTATTCCTGCAACTATCTTGAATTCCTTTATTGCTTGTGATACCGGCCCCAGCCAGTCACACCCAAGACAGTATGTATATTTGTATACATTTACATTATTTCTAGATATATCTCCAGTTATTAAATATTTAATGATGGCATGGTGGCTGACACCGGTAATCCCGGCTCTTTGGGAGACCAAGGCAGGTGGATTGCTGGAGCCCAGGAGCTCAAGACCAGCCTGAGCAACATAGTGAGACTCCCCCGTCTTTACAAAATATATAAAAATTAACCAGATGTGGTGGCACATGCCTGTAGTCACAGCTACTCAAGAGGCTGAGGTGGGACGATCACTTGAGCCCAGGAGGCAGAGACTGCACCACTGCACTCCAGCCTGGGTAACAGAGTGAGAACCCCGTCTCAAAAACAAGCAAAACATAAAAACATTTAAGAAAACTTTGTGTTGTGCGGTCTGATGTATTTTTCACCTACATTCTCCTGCTTTAAAGGGGTAATTTGTACCTAAAAACCCCTCCTAGGATGAATTCTCCTAAGTGGAGAATATAATTGCCATTAATTCCGGTGGAAAAATCTGTATGCACACCTTAGTCCCTAAATACACTCATTTATCCTAAAACACCATAAACCCATTAAAATGGGCACAGATAATTGACCTCAGCTAACACAGCACAACACAAGCAAGGTCTCTTAATTACCCTATAAAATGGCTGTCTGCATACATTAAGCTGTTTGTGCATTGTTATAAATACCTGAGGCTGGGTAATTTATAAAGAAAATAGTTTTTTTTTTTTTTTGGTTGTTTTTTTTTTAAGATGGAGTCTTGCTCTGTCACCCAGGCTGGAGTGCAGTGGCATGATTTTGGCTCACTGCAAACTCCACCTCCCGGGTTCCAGCGATTCTCCTGCCTCAGCCTCCTCAGTAGCTGGGATTACAGGCACCCACCACCATGCCCAGCTAATTTTTGTATTTTTAGTAGAGAAGGGGTTTCACCATGTTGGCCAGGCTGGTCTCGAATTCCTGACGTCAGGTGGTCCACCTGCCTCGACCTCCCAAACTGCTGGGAATACAGGCTAGAGCCACCACACCTGGCCGAGAAAAGAGATTTAATCGGCTCATGGTTCTGCAGACACCTGCTCAGCTTCTCGGGAGGCCTCGGGAAACTAGCAATTATGGCGGAAGGTGAAGGGGGAGCAGGCACATCACATGACAAAATTAGGAGCAGGGGGAGGGGGTGCCACACGCTTTTAAATAACCAGCTCTCACAAGAAGTATCTTGAGGACAGCACCATGCCATGAGGTGTCCTCCCTCATGACCCAAACACCTCCCACCAGCCCCCAACTCCGACATTGGGGATGGCATCTCAGCATGAGACTTGGACAGAGACGAACATCGAACTATATCACTACACTTCTCCAGCTCTTTCAGAGCTGCATTGTACCCTTGAGACTATACTATCAAAGAAAGCATATTTGACATCCATCCTTCACATAAGAGAAGCCTTTATACAAAAAGGTAAAGTAGTAGAGGCAGAAAAGTCAATGGAAACAATGGAAGGAGTGCCAGGGTTGTCCCTACAAGGTAGCAAGTTACAAATGCTGAGAAGTTCGCACACCCCACTCTACAACTAGGAAGGTGACCACAGGGGTTACTCTCATTAGCTGCATGTTCCCAAGGCTCTAAAAATCCAGATCACATCTTTTTTTTTTTTGGAGATGGAGTCTCGCTCTGTCGCCCAGGCTGGAGTGCAGTGGCGTGATCTCAGCTCACTGCAACCTCCCCCTCCCAGGTTCAAAAGATTCTCCTGCCTCAGCCCCCAAAGTAGCTGGGATTGCAAGAGCGCACCACTGCACCTGGCTATTTTTAGTAGAGACGAGGTTTCACCATGTTGGCCAGACTGGTCTCTAATTCCTGACCCTCAAGTGATCCACCCACCTCTGTGTCCCAAAGTGCTGGGTTTACAGGAGTGAGCCGCCACGCCTAGCCTCAAATCAGAACTTTTTTTTTTTTTTTTAGAAACAAGAATTCACTATTTGAGAGAAAAAAAAAAAAAGAGACAGATACGCTGCTACTGCAATTTAGCCACTGCTGTTTGGTGGCCAGCCTCTTCTCTCTTTTCAGCAATAGTAAGTCGGGTGCCCTTTTCCCTGGGCAGGGAAATCCAAGGTTTACTGCCATTGCCAGTGACAAAAATGTTGGAAAGCCTCAGGGCAAAGCTGTTGCCATTGGCATCCCTCACATGCCCCACATTTAAAGAACCAGGATGTCCTTCCCTGTTGGTCACACCAACATGACGGAGGCTGGCTCCGCCAATCACCATACACGCATTGCCTGTGTGGAATTTGATAAAGTTGATTATCTTGCCAGTCCCTAAATCAATCTGCACAGTATTGTTCACCTTGATGACAGGATCTGGGTAGTGGATAGTTCCAGTATCATGAGTCACCAGGCGTTGGATTCCCTTCATCCCCATAGTCACCTTCCTCACTTTGCACAGGTTGTACTTTGCCTCTTCGACTGTAACGCGATCAACAGCAACACAGCCCTTGGGTCACAGACCAGGCAGAAATGCTCACCTGTCTTGATGCCGATGACATCCGTGAATCCAGCAGGGTATGTGATAGCCACTCGAACCTTGCCATCAATTTTAATGAAGCATTGCATACATATCTCCTTTACGTCATCTCCGGTCAATGCATACTTGAGTCTATTCCTGAGGAAGACGATCAGCGGAAGACATTCCCTCAGCTTGTGGGGACCTGTCGATGGACGAGGTGCAAATATACCCTTTAGTTTGTCGAGCATCCAATGCTTCGGCACTGCAGCACGCTTCAAGTGCTCCTTAGGGCCCCAGGCCATGGTGAAACCCTGCGACGGAAGATCAGCGCTCTTTTGAAGTGCCTTGTAATCCTCATAAACCACAGTGCTTTTAAGTGAAGCTCCTCTTAAAGACAAATTCTTGCAGTCTGGGCGTATCTCAAGATGTAACTGTACTTCATTTAATCCTCACACAAGCCTAGGAGGCAGTGGTTTTTATCCTACTGGTGAGGCAGCCAGCCGAAAGCAGCAATGCCAAGAACAACAAAACCCAGCTCATGAGGTGTATTTCCAGTTGAGACTTCTTCCTGTTCAACTCTGAGTCCATGCTCACTGTATTTGGCCATACAGCCCATTTTTATCCTGATATTTTAGAGATCTTTTTCCACTTCCGTGGATATTTTTCATAACTGAACTGCGTATTGGGTTATGTCTTTATTTCTAAGTCTGAAGTTGGGACTCACCTACTTGGCCTCCAGCTATTCAGGAATCTGGGGTGGGAGGATTGCTTGAGCCCAGGAGGTCGAGAACCATGTTCCTACCACTCCACACCAGCCTGGGAGACAACGTGAGACTCTGTCTTTAAAAAAAAAAAAAACCAACACCACACACACACACAAAGAAAAGAAAGGCCCAGAACCACATTCCCCAAAACCCACTTGGAGTGGTTGCACAGGCCGCCCCCGGGAGGGCTGGCACTTCCACTCTGTGGGGCTGATGCTGAGTGTGAGAAGACAGTGTCCCTGGAGGCCTGTGTCCCTGCAGATTGCTAAAGCCATCACTGCGAGTGAGAAGAATGGGCAGCAGATGGAGGTTTGGACAGGCAGAGTCCAGGACAGGCAGAGTCCAGGCATCTGAAGGGCACAGGGAGGACTGCAGTGGTGAAAATCAAGCCAGACTTTTTCTGTGACTGGGAGCAGGCCATGGCGTGTGGGGCCTGGCTGCGTCAGGTGGTTTGGGTCTACCGGCCCAGGAGCAGCCTGCAGAAGGGGCACAGGATGGCCAGGCCTGGGCAAGGAAAGGGCAGCTGAGGGGTGCCCTGGTGAGACACCAGTGTCTCTGAGGGGCAGCCATTTAGCAGAATGGGTGATCACAGCAGGTAGACAAATGACCCCCTGCAGTGGGTCAGCCGCTGGGGATGCTCAGTGGTGGCTCCGTGTGGTCTCAGGAGGCCCAGTGCTGATGACTGGAACCACATTCTGACAGTAGTGACGGGACTAGGATCAGCCATGACAGTCAACAGGCATTGCTTTTCTGCCCTTGGCCGTGTACGCGGCTTGAGTTCTCTCATTCGGCAGTCAGATAACCCATGAGAGAAAGTCACCATTCTCGTCTTATAAATGAAGTAACTGAAGTTCAGAGAGGTTAAAGAATTTTCAAGGTGCGTGATGTGCTACAATACTAAGAATACGAGAAGTTAAGGCTGTATTAGAGCAACCACTGAAGAAAAAAAGCAACAGTATATCCAAAACACTAGTAGATAAATTAAAACTGAAATCAAACATTTTTAGGCCCAGTGCAGTGGCTCACACCTGCAATCCCAGCACTTCGGGAGGCCGAGACAGGCAGGCAGATCACTTGAGGTCAGGAGTTCAAGACCAGCCTGGCCAACATGAAACCCCATCTCTACTAAAAATACAAAAATTAGCTGGGAGTGGTGGCGGGTGCCTGTCATTTCAGCTACTCAGAAGGCTGAGGCAGGAGAATTGCTTGAACCTAGGAGGCGGAGGTTGCAGTGAGCCAAGATCATGCCACTACACTCCAGCCTGGGTGACAGAGCAAGACTTCTCTCAAAAAAAAATATTTTTAACACAAAAGAGGGCAAGAAAGAAGAGGAGCCAAAATAGGGGAGGGAGTGGGAGAACAAAGTGAAGAGTAAAATGGTAGACCTAAAACAACCATAATAAAACGCAGAAATTGTCAAAGGGATAAAGATTCAAAGGCAAAGCCAAATTATATGTAGTACAAGAGTCATTTTAAATATAAAGACACAGGTGGACTGGGCACAGTGGGTCATACCTATAATCCCAGCAATTTTGGAGGCTGGGGCAGCAGGATTACTTGGGGCCAGGAGTTCTAGTCCAGCCTGGGCAACATCGCCAGACCCCATCTCTTCAAAAAAAGTTTAACAGAAAAACTAGCTAGGCATGGTGGTGTGTGCACGGAGTTCCAACTACTCAGGAGGCTGAGATGGGAGGATTGCTTGAGCCCAGGAGTTTGAGGCTGCAGTGAGCTATGATAGCACCACTGTACTCCAGCCTGGGTAACAGAGCAAGACGCTGTCTCTGGAAAAAAAAATGAAAGATTTGCCCAAGGTAAAGACAGCCCAGACCTCGGTGGGGCTGCGAAGCAGGAATGGATAGAATGGGGACAGGTCCATGGCAGAGAAAGGATTTGGACCCAGAGTTGCAGATCCTAAAACCTAAGGTCTTTAACGGATACTGTATTTCCTACCTTCTGGCATGTTCCATGGCAGCATTCCGACTCCTACCAGGGAGCAGTCTTCAGATGTGACACAGCTTCACAGCTGTGCTGCCTTCCCTGAGCTAATACTTCCCCACTACTGGTCAAAAATGAGGTGACGTTTCTCTTAACCTCCTCTCTTTTTTAATATATCCTTCCCATCCCTCTACCCCGGGGACTCATTCTCCCAGCAGCTGCTGAACTCCTGTGTATCAGATTCTTACACTTGAGCATGCATCAGAATCACCTGGAAGGTATAATACACTAAAGGCCGGGCCCTGTCCATGCCATTTCTGAATCTGTACGCTGGCGTGGAGCCTGGGAATCTGCATTGCTAACAAGGTTCCCCAGGTGCTCGCACTCGGAGAAGCCCTGTGGGCGATTAAGCTTATTGCTTCACGAGACACTGAGAAACAGCTCCTGCCTCGAAGCCCACCATCGAGCTTGAAGACTGTCGGGTGAACAGGTGAGTCCAACTGGGAGTAATTGGTTTCCAACAGAGGAAGCTCAGGTGCCCTGTGGGAGCACACAGGGGCAGCACCAGCCTCAGGTCAAGGGAAAAGCAGCCCGAGACAAACTTCCGGTGCCACAGAAAGCCAGATGGTTTCATGGAGGCCACCCAGCCCCCGTCACCCATCATGACTCTGCTTGCACAGTTTGAGCAATGCCATTGGTTTTGCCTGTGTGACCAACTCTTAGGCATCTCCATAGGGCCACAGGGCAGGCCCCCAGCTGTCGGCATTGCCTGGTCTTATGATCTCAGGCTCCCAGCACCCTCACTGCCCAGCAGCCTGTTCCATAGCAGCATCTCCCACCTTCTCCCTGACTTCTAGAGGGGAGCACCCCATGAGCTTAGCTGTGCCTGCCCTCTCACCAGCATGGTCACATTCCTGCTTTCGTAGACGAATGAATCTTCCGGGCCTTCCCATGGGCGTTCTGCCTCACAGGGCTTGTCCACACAACTGCCCACCTCTGAGCCTTTTAACGCCTCTTTCCACCATCTTATAGCAGCGCCAGCACCTCTCCTTTGCTTAGTGTGCTCTGCCTTCTGCCTGCTTCTAGGAGCCATCCGGCAGCACGGTGGCCCATCCCCTAGGGTCCTGAGCAAGGCATTAAGTCCTGTATCCTAGGAGAGTCCTCCCGAACTGATACCCCCACCTTTCTCCAGCTTCATGGGCTTTCCCCTTGGTCCAGCTCTCTCAGCACCCAGTTCTCATCACGTGTGCCCCGTCCCTGCAAGCGCTTTTTGGCTCCATTCTGCAGCTCCCTTGGTACAAGGTCCTTTTCCTCTCTTACCAGGCCTGGTGCCATCATGGCCAGGACTGGAAAGGAGAGAGATGCTGGGGTTAATGTCCTGCAGGAGGGAAGCCTCCGTCTCCTGTGAGGAAGGTACTCTCGCCCCGGTGGGAAGAGTGGGGCCACTTCTGTGCACTCCGGGCTTACGGGCTCTGGGGATTTGAGGTTTTGGGAGTACATCAACCCAGATGTCTGCATCTCATGCATCAGAGCCCTGCATCTGGCACAGCAGCCTGTCTAGGTGGAGCATTTAACCTTCTTGGGAGCTTGGCTGATCTTACAACTAAATCCTGGGTCTAGTCCTCAGCTTTCTCTACCTTGCAGCTGCAAGAGATAAAAACCTCTTTATGTGTTCCTAAGGTGGCTTTCACCCTTAGCTGTTAATTGCCTGTTAATCATTCTCAGCTTTTGTCATTTCCCAAAGTCTTTGTGTTTAGCAGCAACCACCTAGTTTAACTGTGGTTTTTGGGTTTGTGAGACAGGGTCTTGCTCTGTCACCCAGGCTGAAGTGCAGCGGCATCATCACAGCTCACTGCAACCTCGACCTCCCAGGCTCAAGAGATCCTTCTGCCTCAGCCTCCCAAGTAGCAGGGACTACACCACCACACCTGGCTAATTTTTATTTTTTATGGGGACGTGGGTCTTGCTATGTTGCCCAAGCTGGTCTTGAACTCTTAGGCTCCAGCAATTCTCTTACCTCAGCCTCCCAAAGTGCTGGGATTGCAGGCGCGAGCCGCTGCTCCTGGCCCTACGTTCTATAGGTATTCTCTCCCCTCATACCTCAAACTCCTGACACAGGGCACCCACTAGTGGATAGTGTTCCCTAGAATACCATTGCATTTCATCAGCAGTGGAAGCTTTCACAACCTCATTGCTACCGTGTGCCCGACCTATCTGCGCTTCCTCTACCAACCATGAAGAGGTCCTCACTGCCAGCCTGGTAGTCAGCAGTCCAGCTCCAGAATCCCACCTCAGCATCCGCATTTTGCAGCTCACTCCCGGCACACACGATCATAGCTGGAGCTCCCCACAGGAAGTAGACTCTGAGATAAAGATGACCACACAGAAGTTTACTGGTACCCCAGGAGCAATACCTTTGGAACCGAAGACTCGTAGGGGTAGGGAAAGAGCAATGTTGGGCAGAGGAAGATAGAGCCTCAACATCGTCCCAAGTTTGGGTGAAAAGACTGGACCTTTAAAAAAACCCTACTGACCAATCACTGGATGCAGCTGCCCAGAAAGGAGGCAGGACCCGAGGTCAAGATGATGCTCTTCAGCTGAGGAAACTCCCAAAGAGGACGGCAGCTGCGGACTGTCTGCTGTCCACAGCAGCGCGTGGGGAGGTCGGCCTGCAGTCCTGGAGGGAATCTGGGTGGCTAATCACGCAACCACTAGATTAGGTACAGATGCAGGCTGGTCCGAGACAGGATTCTCTTGCGACTGCTCCAGACGTTTCTGTTAGTAGAAAGCCAGATCACCCGATGGGCGGGGAGAGGCGCGTGCACTGTTTAACGTGGTCTAACTCAGACCAAGGGTGGGGCAACCCCCGCCCGAGGAGGAATCTGTTTTTAAGCTGAGATTAAATCAAGTGCGACCCCTGATTAAACTCAGCCTTTTGCTTAACTGTACTTGTCAATATAACACATAATTGGAAGCTTTTAAGCATATTTGGGACAATTTGGGTGTGAGTCTACTTTTTCAACTGTAAGTTTTACAAGATGTAAATGCAGATCGAGTATTTCTCATGAAAATGTAGCATCCAGGTGGAGATGTGATGGAAGTGCAAATTACACACTAGGTTTGAAAGAGTATGAGTGTAAAATATATCATTAATAATTTTAAAATACTGATTACATGTTGAAATATGTAGATATATTGGGTTAAATAAAATATATTATTAAAATTCTTTTTTTTTTTTTTTTTTTTTTTGAGACGGAGTCTTGCTCTGTCGCCCAGGCTGGAGTGCAGTGGCGAGATCTCAGCTCACTGTAAGCTCCGCCTCCCGGGTTCATGCTATTCTCCTGCCTCCGCCTCCTGAGTAGCTGGGACTACAGGTGCCCGCCACCACACCCGGCTAATTGTTTTGTATTTTTAGTAGAGACGGGGTTTCATCGTGGTTTCATCGTGTTAGCCAGGATGGTCTCATCTCCTGACCTCGTGATCCGCCTGTCTCGGCCCCCCAAAGTGCTGGGATTACAGGCGTGAGCCACCGCGCCAGTCCCTCTTTTTTTTTTTTTTTTTTTTTAAGAGACAGGGTCTCACCACCACACCCAGCTAATTTTTGCATTTTTTTTTTGTAGAGAAGAGGGTCTCACTATGTTGCCCAGACTGGTCTCGAACTCCTGGGCTCAAGCGATCCGCCCGCCTCAGCCTCCCAAAGGTGCTGGGATTACAGGCGTGAGCCACCGTGCCCGGCCTCTTTTTACTTTTTCAGTAGGGCTACCAGAAAATTTAAAATCATCCATTTGGCTCGCCTTGTATTTCTTTTGTATTTCTTTGAAACAACGCTGGGTTAGGAACAGTAAGGCATAGCTATATGCAGTTTTCATATTGGCCACCAGGTGGCAGCCTTATACCGGGTGGTTTTCAGACTCTTGGGAGGCCGGTGGGTGGAGCGGGGGACAGACGCAGATTTCACCAGCAAGTGAAAAAGTCCCTTAGCCAGGTTTGTGCTTGCTATTCCATTTTTATATTACTTACGCCTCACATTTATTTGTATGTAGATGGTTGTTGACATAATAAAATACATGTAATTTCCTCTGTGTTTAAGAGCAGTTCTCCCTCACTGAGCTGGGAGTTTCCTTAAGAAACCTGGCTCTTAATTATATAGAGAGAGACTGGGCGCGGTGGCTCTAATTATATATAGAGACACCCAGCGCGGTGGCTCACACCTGTAATCCCAGCACTTTGGGAGGCCGAGGTGGGTGGATCGCCTGAGGTCAGGAGTTCGAGACCAGCTTGACCAACATGGTGAAATACATGTCTCCACTAAAAATACAAAAATTAGCTGGGCATGGTGGCATGCACCTGTAATCCCAGCAACTCAGGAGGCTGAGGCAGGAGAATTGCTTGAACCTGGGAGGAAGAGGTTGCAGTGAGCTGAGATTGCACCACTGCACTCCAGCCTGGGCAACAGAGTAAGACTCCATCTCAAAAAAAGAAAAAAAAATACACACACACACACACAGAGAAAGACAGGGTGACAGGGTCTTGCTCTGTCACCCATGCTGCAGTGCAGTGGTGTGATCATAGCTCACTGCAGCCTCGAACTCCTGGGCTCAAGTGATCCTCATGCCCCAGCCTCCTGAGCAGCACATTACAGGTGCCACCCGCTGCACCCAGCTACTTTTTCTTTTTTTTAAAGGAGTCTCACTATGTTGCCCAGGCTAGTCTCAAACTCCTGGCCTCAAACAATCCACCCGCCTCTGCTTTTTTTTTTTTTTTTGAGACAGTCTCACTCTGTTGCCCAGGCAAGAGTGCAGTGGCACCATCTTGGCTCATTGCAACCTCTTGCCTCCTGGGTTCAAGCAATTCTTGTGCCTCTGCCTCCTGCGTAGCTGGGATTACAGGCATGTGCCACCACGCCTGGCTAATTTTTGTATTTTTGGTAGAGATGGGGGTTTCACCATGTTGGCCAGGCTGGACTCGAACTCCTGACCTCAGATGATCCGCCTGCCTCTGCCTCCCAAAGTGCTGGGATTACAGGTGTGAGCCCCTGCGCCCGGCCGGCTTGATACTATTTTTAATAGTCGACTTTGGATCCCACTCCTGTGCCCAAGCTCTCTCTCATTTTGCTTTTCCCCTCTTCACACATCCATTCTCCAAGTTAATTTCTCTTCATGTCCTTATAATTAAATTCCATCTATAACCTTAATTCCAACCTATTAGACGCATCATCAGAACGGCTGACAGTGCACGGGCAGAGAAAGGTATTAGGAAAGCCAGTGAAGTAGAAAATGCAGGAGGGAGCCCATTCCATTCCTGCCAAGATGCCGGGTTAGTGTGGAATGTTGGCTGCCCCCCAGGACCAGCCATGATAGATTTTTTTTAGATGGAGTCTCACTCTGTCACCAGGCTGGAGTGCAGTGGCAAGATCTCGCCTCACTGCAACCTCTGCCTCCTGGGTTCAAGCGATTCTCCTGCCTCAGCCTCCTGAGTAGCTGGGACTACAGACACCCACTACCACACCTGGCTAATTTTTGTATTTTAATAGCAATGGGGTTTCACCATGTTGGCCAGGATGGTCTCAATTTCCTGACCTCATGATCTGCCCTCCTCGGCCCCCAAAAGTGCTAGGATTACAGGCGTAAGCCACCATTCCCAGCCCATGATGGATCTTTAGAGGGAAACATCAAGAGACAGGAAGACCTGGGAGAAGAAGCAAAGATCGGAACCTGTGGTTACGTGGGGAGGCTAGAGCTGTGGCCCAAGGCAGAAGGCTGTGAACTCGGCTGTGCAAGGAAAAAACAGGAAGTGAGCACCAGGGTTCTGCTCTGCTTCCGACCCAGCTCCAGGGCTTTGGGGCAATGGGTGCCTGCCCCTGGCCTGCAGGTGCCCTCAGGATAAAGTGGGTCATGCCGAGGCACTGTACAGGGGAGGAAATGAAAAAGACTTAGAACTATAAAGTGTGTATCAAATTGCAATAAAAAAGGCCAGGTGTGGTGGCTCACACCTGTAATCTCAGCACTTTAGGAAGCCGAGGTAGGTGGATCAGTTGAGGTCAGGAGTTTGAGACCAGCCTGGCCAACATGGTGAAACCCTGTTCTTACTAAAAATACAAAAATTAGCCAGGCATGGTGGTGGACACCTGTAATCCCAGCTATTTGGGAGGCTGAGGAGGGAGAATCACTTGAACTCAGGAGAGGTTGCAGTGAGCAGAAATCATGCCACTGCATTCTAGTCTGAGCATAAGAGCAAGACTCCATCTCAAAAAAAAAAAAAAAAAAATACAATGAAAGCAGTGTTTGGAGGAAAGCTTGCCTCCTGAAATACTTTTATGAGAAAAGAACACACTGAAAATTACTGAGCTGAGTATCTAAATTTGTGATGTTAAAAAATCACAAATGGATACATACAGATTAGGAAGCCAGCATTACCCTGATACAAAAGCCAGATAAAAACATCAGAAGAAAATTACCAACCAGTATCTCTCATGAATATAGATGCAAAAACCTTCAATAAAGTACTAGCAAACTGAACCCGACAGCATATTAAAAGGATTATACACCATGATGAAGTGGGAGTTATCCCAGCATGCCAAGCGCTATAGGAAATAACAAGAAAATCCATCAGCGTAATATGCATTAATTGAATGAAAGGGGAAAATCACGTGATCACTTAAATTGATGCAGAAAAGGCCTTTGACAAGATCCAACACCCTTCATGATAAAAAGCACTCAGAGGCTGGGCGCGGTGGCTCACGCCTAATCCCAGCACTTGAGGACGCCGAGGCGGGTGGATCACCTGAGGTCAGGAGTTTGAGACCAACCTGACCAACATGGTGAAACCTCCTCTCTACTAAAAATACAAAAAATAGCTGGGTGTGGGGGCTCACGCCTACAATGCCAGCTACTGAAGAGGCTAAAGCAGGAGAATCTCTTGAACCCAGGAGGTGGAGGTTGCAGTGAGCCGAGAAAGCGCCATTGCACTCCAGCCTGGGCAACAAGAGCAAAACTCCATCTCAAAAAAAAAATAATAAAATAAGTTAGCCGGGCATGGTAGCATAGGCCTGTACTCCAAGCTACCTGGGAGGCCGAGACACGAGACTCACTTGAACCTGAGAGATGGATGTTACAGTGAGCTGAGAGCGAACCTCTGCACTCCTGCCTGGGCAAGAAAGCAAGACTCTAAAAAAGACTGTCTAAGAACCCCATGCAGGCTGAGTCAAGGAAACTAAGAAACTAAGCATCTTGGTAAACCAACGAAAATCAAAGGTAAAATCTTAAAAGCATCCAAAGAAAATCCATTAAACCTTTTTAAAAAGCAACAGTAAATCACTGACTTCTCCACGAATCAACAGAAGCCAGGAGACACTGAAACACCTTCCAAGTCCAAATATCCATGTACATACTCACATGCACGTCTCAACAAAAATTATTTTTCAGAGTGACAGGCAACTTTTACAAGATCAAAATGAATAAATATCTTTTCAGACAGTGGAACAACAGGAGAATTTTCTCCAACAAAATTTTCACTGCATTAAAGGAAAGACTAAAAGTTTCCAGAGAGAGAGAGACCGCCAATCCGGACACATCCTGGGAAAGGAACCGGCCCCCTCCATGGCCTGGCCGAAGTGATGGAAGCTGAGCGTGAGGAAGCCTCAAGATCTAACTGCAGAGGCCGAGCGCGGTGGCTCATGCCTATGATCCCAGCACTTTCGGAGGCCGAGGCAGGCAGATCACCTGAGGTCAGGAATTTGAGACCAGTCTGAACAACATAGTGAAACCCCATCTCTACTGAAAATACAACAATTAGCCGGGCGTGGTAGTGAGTGCCTATAATCCCAGTTACTTGAGAGGCTGAGGCAGAAGAATGGCTTGAACCCAGGAGGCAGAGGTTGCCGTGAGCCAAGATGTCACTGCACTCCAGCCTAGGCAGCAGAACAAGACTCTGTCTCAAAAAAAAAAAAAAAAAAAAAAAAAAAAAAGTCTAACTGCAGGGTCACAGAAAATGCAGAGAGGGAGGCGGGGAAGAGTGTGGGAGCTGAGAGGACAGTGGCGCCAGCTCCCAGCAGTGGATGCAGAAGGTGTGAGGGGCTGGGGTCTGACGGGGGAGGGGGTGATGCTTGCATGCACATTCCTGAGCACTGGACATGGGGGACTAAAGGCAGAGAAAGGCACCTGGAGTGTGTGGGTCAGCAGTGGTCCCAGTGACAACTCCAGGGGGCTATGGATTGCAGAGCCTGGCCAAGGACTGCTGCCTTCCAGAAAGCCCCACGGGTCAAGCTAGCTTCAGCAGGTAGGGCCTAAATTCTAAACCCAGGGTGGAGCCGTGAGCAGGCAAGAGATATGAAGACCTCAGCTTCCTGAGAAGGCTGGGTTGCCAACATTAACTGCAGCCTGGAAAGGGAACGGTAGTGCTGCCCCTTTGTGGGTGACAAGGACAACTTCAAGCCCACCTCCCCTGGGCCACACAGACACAGGCAGTGCAGTCAGGGCTTCTAAACAGATGCATTTAATGGGAAATCTTAAGGCAGGGGTGGCAGGAGCTGCGGGCTCAGTTGGCGGCCAGGATCTTCTGCACCCAGGGTATGAGCTTGGCGACACGGGCGTACACAGCGGGCGTGGTGGTAGAGCAGGTGCGGCTGCCCCAGGACACAATGCCCACCAGGGTCCAGGCTCCGTCCTTCTGGCAGACCAGGGGGCCTCCAGAGTCACCCTGCAGGAAGGAGAGGAAGTATCTCTAGGCCTGAAAGGGGTGCCAGGGCCTAGGGGACCCTGACCTGGTGGAGTCTAGGGAGGGGTGCGGAGAAATGGTAAGCATGGGCATAGGGGCTGTGCCGGGGTCCTGAGATCTGGGTTCACATGGCAGCCCCCACTCTGCCATGCACTCTTGGAGGGAGCTGGGGCAGGTGGCTTCCCTCTCTAAGCCGGGGCACCATCCATCTCTCCAAACCTCCAGCTCACAGGGCTGCAAGGAAGTCCCCAGGGGCAGCCTCAGCTGCATGGCCTGGAGGAACCCTCATGGGCGGCTGTGACCCCAAGGCCTGGCCCTCACTGGGCCCCAGGAGGGTGTGGGGTTAGTAGATGAGAGCAGAGAGGGGTGGAAAGCCCAGACCTCCCCTGCACCCCGCTCGCCTGGCCAGGGCCTGGGCAGGGCCAGCCTCACCATGCAGGAGGAGACGCCACTGGCCCCGGCACAGATCATCACGTCGGTGATCCTCCTGCCCCAGGACTTCTTGCATTCGGCATTGGACAGGAGGGGCAGGGCTGCCTGCTGCAGCTTGTCAGGGGTCTTGTTGGCTGCAGGACAGGAGGAGGGTCAGGGCCCCTGGGCTCACTCAGCCAAGAGTGGAGGGAGAGACCCGGGGCCGACACGCCTGCCCTACCCTGCACCATCACCACGATGTTGGGTACGGCCCCTGGAGCCTCAGAAGCGCCTGTGGGACAAGGGGGCCTCGGCCCTGCCCGGGTGGGAGCCCCACGCTGCGACTCCAGGCAGGTCAGCCAGGGCAGGGCTCACCCGGCCGGGCGCTGCTCAGAAGCTCCCTGTGCAGGCTCCTCATGATCCGACCTGGATTTTATTTGCATTTGGGGGATTTTAAATTCAGAAGATTTTCAATAACGAACGGGCAGTTAGGAGCGTGTTGGAATTTAGAGCCAAACGGTCACGGGGGGACTCCACGGCCAGGCAGCCCAGACCCCAGAGGCAGCCCCGCGGCCCCTCACCGTTGTACTTGGTCTTGCCCCAGCCTGTGGTGGCACACAGTGTCCCCGCGGGGAAGTCGTCGTCGGCGCTGGGCAGGCACACGGCGGACACTGTCTGGGAGAAGCGGGCAGGTGTGGCCAGCTTCAGCAGGGTGATGTCATTGTTCACGGTCAGAATGCTGAACTTGGGGTTCTTGAAGACCTGGGGGTGGGGGCCAGAGTGCCGGGGTGAGGCCCTGGGAGGAGGCAGGACCTGCAGGCTTCGAGGACAGACTCCTTCCCTGGTGCCCGTTAAGGAGCAGTCCATCCCCAGGGCCGGAATGGGAATCACGAGGCCGGCCCGGCCCCACTGGGCGCCTGTCCCTGAAGCAGCCGAGGGGTCTCCCCCCGTGCCCACGGCCCTGCCCTCTGCTGGACGGGGCCTGGGTACCTTGGCGATCTTCAGGACCTGGATGTTCTCCTCGTCAGAGCCCTGGTCAAACTCCCCAGCCACGACCACGTCGGAGGTCCTGGGCAGAGCGTTGTGGGTGAGAGAACATGCCCTGCTCCCCTCCCACCCGACCGGTGCTGGAAGCGGAGCCCAAGGCTGCCCGGTCCTCACCTGACCCCGCAGTGGGCAGCGGTGACCACCCAGTCCTCGCTGATGAGGGAGCCCCCGCAGAAGTGGAAGCCGGTTTTGTCCTGTGAGCAAGATGGGGAGGGTCAGCACCTCCCACCCGGGGGCACCCCCAGCCTGGCCCCTACCCAGGGTGCCCCCCACCTTGCAGAACCCCCTCACCTGCAGGGACACCTGCCAGGGCCAGGAGCCGGGGACGGCGTCCTCCCCATTCACGATCCTGGACAGGCCGCTGAGCACAGGGTGGATGGCGGGGACCCCGCAGCCTGGGGGGGAGTGGGGTGAATAAGGGCTGAGGCCCCAAACCCACCTGGGCCTCACCTGCCTGCGTGCAGCTCTCCCGGTTCTACCCCAGTCCACTGAAGCCAGCTCAGGACCTCCCTGGCACATGCCGCCTCCGCCTCCCTGGTCCCCAAGTCTCTAGGCTCAAACGTTCCCAACTCTCGGCCTGCTGGCTCCAGTCATCCTTCCAGGATGCAGAGCGTCATGTCTCCTCCTACCTGGGGCCTGTCCAGCCTGAAGAAGCAGAAAACAGGCCGGGCTGTAAGACTGCCTGGGCTCAGCCTCGAGGCCACACTTTCCTTGCCGTGTGACCCTAGACCGGGCAGGGCAGCACTCAGGCCTTGGTGTCCTCAGCTATAAAAAGGGCAGCAGAACCACGTGAGCTCCACTGGCCCACGCGCCTTTGTTAGACTGGTGGCGAGAGGGGAAGTGGGAAGAAAATCTGATAACCCCAAGTCCACCAGGAATCTGGGGCTCTGACAATTTGCAGACGGGAGAGTGAAATGGCACCGTGGACCCTGGGTGGGCAGGTTGAATTCCACAATTTCAGGAAACATTGTGTAAAGTTTGGGTTTCTCTTTTTTTTTTTTCCAGTTAGGGTCTTGCTCTGTCACCCTGGCTGGAGTGCCGTGGTGTCATCATGGCCCACTGCAACCTCAAATTCCTTTTTTTTTTTTTTTTTCTTTTTGAGACAGTCTTGCTCTGTTGCCCAGGCTGGAGTACAGTGGCACAATCTTGGCTCACTGCAAGCTCCGCCTCCTGGGTTCACGCCATTCTCCTGCCTCAGCCTCCCGAGTAGCTGGGACTACAGGTGCCCGCCACCAAGCCCAGCTAATTTTTGTATTTTTAGTAGAGACGGGGTTTCACCGTGTTAGCCAGGATGGTCTCGATCTCCTGACCTTGTGATCCACCCGCCTCGGCCTCCCAAAGTGCTGGGATTACAGGCGTGAGCCACCGTGCCCAGCCTTGCAACCTCAAATTCCCGGGCTGAAGCAATCCTATTGCCTTGATCTCCCAACATGCTGAGATCACAGGCATGAGCCCCCATATATCCGGTCTTGGTTTCTTATTTAATAAAACTGGACTTTGGCCAGCACAGTGGCTCACGCCTGTAATCCTAACACTTTGGGAGGCCAAGCGGGGTGGATCACCTGAGGTTGGGAATTTAAGATCAGCCTGGCCAACATAGTAAAACCCCATCTCTACTAAAAATACAAAAATTAGCCGGGCATGGTGGCACAGGCCTACAATCCCAGCTACTTGGGAGGCTGAGGCAGGAGAATCGCTTGAACCTGGGGGACAGAGGTTGCAGTAAGCTGAGATCGTGCCACTGCACTCCAGCCTGGGTGACAGAGCCAAACTCCATCTCAAGAAAAAATCAAAACAAACACAGCTGGACTTTACTTCCACACCATAAAATGGCACATCGGAAGCAGAAAACAAAACAATGAAAATAGTCAGGTGTTCCACACACGCCCACCATGCCTCTGCTATGTCAGGACCAGATTCTCGACTCCTGTGCGCGGGCCAACCCAACAAACTGGGCTTTACATTTGAGCACACCCAGTCCCTCAGACCAGCCGTCCCCTTCTGGGGTCATATTCGCCTGCTTACAAGGCAGCCCCTGCGTCTCCTGCCCACAGGAACACAGGCAGGCAAGGTGCCTCCCTGACGTTTGAGAGCATCAAAAACTGGTATTGTAATAGCAAAAAAATGAGAAAGAGCACGTTGGAAGGCCGAGGCAGGTGGATCACGAGGTCAGGAGTTCAAGACCAGCCTGGACAATATGATGAAACCCTGTCTCTACTAAAAATACAAAAATTAGCTGGGGTGGTGGCTCATGCCTGTAGTTCCAGCTACTCAGGAGGCTGAGGCAGGAGAAATGCTTGAACCTGGGAGGTGGAGGTTGCAGTGAGCCGAAATCATGCCACTGCACTCCAGCCAGGGCGACAAGTGTGAAACTGCATCTAAAAAAATAAATAAATAAGAGAACTAGATGGTGGCATACTCACACAACAGAGCACGCATTATAAAAATGCAGGTGAATGAGCTGAAGCTCCACGTCAACATGCAGGAAGTGAGAAGATTTGAGTAGGGAAAAAGCACATTGTTGTAGAATGGAGGTAGAATGGAGTATTAGTTACATCAGCCAGGCACAGTGGCTCACACCTGTAATCCAGCACCCTGGGAGGTTGAGGTGAGCACATCACTGGAGCACAGGATTTCGAGACCAGCCTGGACAACATAATAAGACCCCAGGTCGGGCATGGGGGCTCACGCCTGTAATCCCATCACTTTGGGAGGCTGAGGTGGGCGGATCACTGGAGGTTAGGAGTTCAAGACCAGCCTGACCAATATGGTGAAACCCCATCTCTATTAAAAATACAAAAATTAGCCAGGTGTGGTGATGCATGCCTGTAATCCCAGCTACTCAGTAGGCTGAGGCAGGAGAAATGCTTGAACCCAGGAGGCGGAGGTTGCAGTGAGCCAAGATCACGCCACTGCACTCCAGCCTGGGTGACAAGAGTGAAACTCTGTCTCAAAGAAAAGAAAAAAAAATAACAAAAAAAACCTCCATCTCTACAAAACAAAACAAAACAAGTTTTTAAACTTAGCGTGCCTGTAGCGCCAGCTACTCGGGAGACTATAGTGGGAGGATCACTCGAGCCCTTGAGTTTGAGGCTGCAAACTCACACTACTGCACTCCAGCCTGGGTGACAGAGTGAGACCCTGTCTCAAAACCAAAACCAAAAACAGGATAGAATACCGTTCCATTGATGTAACCTTTTTGAAACCTTATGTATAGATGTATAAAAATATGTAGTACATTTGTATAAGCTCACACTGCAATTATTCATAGAAAGTTCAGAATCAAGCTCACATTCCAGAGAGGGAAGGAGGGAGAAAAGGGAAGCCTGAGTACAATCTGTTTTAGAAATATCTGAAGCAAATCTGCAAAAAGATTTGCTGAATTCTGACAGTAGATACAAGGATGTCATATTCTTTTCTGTATTTTCTTTTACTATTTCTCTTTTAAAAAATAGAAAACACGGCTGGGCACAGTAGCTCATGCCTGTAATCCCAGCACTTTGGGAGGCCGAGGCGGGGGCATCACCTGAGGTCAGGAGTTCAAGACCAGCCTGGCCAACGTGGTGAAAGCCCGTCTCTACTAAAAATTAGCCAGGGTTGGTGGTCCACGCCTGTAGTCCCAGCTGCTCGGGAAGCTGAGGCAGGAAGATCATTTGAACCCAGGAGATGGAGGTTGCAGTAAGTGGAGATTGCACCATTGCACTCCAGCCTCGGCAATAGGAGTGAAATTCTGTCTCGAAAAAAAAAAAAGAAAGAAAGGAAGAAAATGCTTGACAAGTACCCAGCACAATAAAAACCCCGGTGGAGGCCTTGGGAGGTCTCCTGGGGCCACACCTTACCCTGCACAAGGCACCCCCACCCCAGCCACTTCTGGAGCCTCAGACCATGGCAGAGACCAGCATCGTCCTTCCCACTCCTGGAGCAGGTTGTGTGGGCTCAGAAAGCCCCAGAATGCACCCTCTCCTGAGCCCTCAGGTTACCTGTGCTGGGGATGAGGCCCCAGGGGGCAGAGCAGGGGACTCAGATCCCCCTCTCAGCCAGGCTCAGGGCTCCCTCAGGACAGACCCCTCGGGCACCAGCACTCACCAAAGGCGGCCCCCACAAGGGAGAAGCAGGAGAGGAGCCAGAGGGAAGCCATGCCGCTGCCTCAGAAGGTGTGGGGCCTGCCAGCTGCGGGGCCCCTTTTACCACCTTGGGGGGGCAGGGAGCCCAGCCCCCCCCGCTCCCCCAGCCAGGGAGGCCTGAGCCCACCCTCCCTGTTACCCAGGGACCTTGGGCAATAAGTGGAGACAGAGCCCCGCCTGGCTCTCTACCAGACAACCCCAGTCCCTGGGAAAGGGGCAGCTGCGCTGACATCACCGGTCAGCCTTGGGGACATGATCCCACAGAGCCAGCTGTGAGCTGCAGTATCCCTGCCAGGAGACGGCACCAGGCTCTTCTGTTCCCAGAGGGGAAGTGGAGGCAGTTCCACCCCAGGGCTCGTGGAGGACCAGCTGCTGTCATGGAACCAGGTCTCCGGGAACTCAGGCTCTCAGTGAAGGGTGTTTCCGCCTAACACTGTCCTAGAAGCAAAGGGTGACTCAGGGCATCGTGGATTCTCCAGAGTGTCACTGCAAGTCACCAGTGAAGCCAAGCCACTTCTGACTGTGGCGAGGGTCTGGGTGACAAGGACCAACCCGCTGGTGGCCGTAACAGGTGGGCAAAGCCACTGACACGCGTCCCACCTGTGCTGTAGAACCCAACAGAATTCACTTTTTCTGCAATGACTCATGATATAAGGAACTAATCATTTCATAAAGTTTCAGTTTCTTACAAAATGGAACTTGGATTCCGCACCATAAAATGACACAGAAAACAAACTTTTTAAGATGGAGTCTCACTCTGTCACCCAGGCCGGAGTGCAGTGGCGCAATTTCAGCTCACTGCAGCCTCCTCTTCCCGGGTTCAACTGATTCTCCTGCCTCAGCCTCCCAAGTAGCTGGGATTACAGGTGCCCACCACACCCAGCTATTTTTTTTTTTTTTTTTTGAGATGGGGTCTTGCTCTGCTGCCTAGGCTGGAGTGCAGTGGCACAATCTTGGCTCACTGCAGCCTCCACCTCCCAGGTTCAAGCAATTCTCCCACCTCAGCCTCTTGAGTAGCTGGGATTACAGGCATAGCACCAAACCTGGCTAATTTTTATATTTTTAGTAGAGACGGGGTTTCACCATGTTGGCCAGGCTGGTCCCAAACTCCTGATCTCGGGTGATCCACCTTCCTCGGCCTCCCAAAGTGCTGGGATTACAGGCGTTAGCCACCGCACTTGGCCAATTGTTGTATTTTTAGTAGAGACAGGGTTTTACCACGTTGGCCAGGCTCCTCTTGAGCTCCCGGCCTCAGGTGATCCTGTGGCCTTGGCCTCCTAAAGTGCTGAAATTACAGGCGTGAGTCACTGCGCCTGTCTGAAAATAAATTTTGAGGAAGCAGAAAAACTTTTTTCATTGTCACAAAACAAGGAGGAAAGACAGGTGTGGGTGACAGGTCGGTGACTGGGCAGAAAGTGAAGGCCAAGGGATCCTCAGCACCCTGTGGGCAGATATTCAGGGGACAGAGCCCGCAGCATCCCTGCCCTTATGGGCCTGAGACGCTCATGACAGACACACACGACACAGATGAGCATGTAATATAGTGACCACAGTCACCTGGGGCAAGGCTGGACAGGACAGGCTGTACTGCATTTCCGGACGATGAGGGTATGAAAGTAAGACGCAGTGGGTGGATGGTGTTTCCATGGAAGGCCTTGGGCTCTGTGGTCAGCGGGCCAGGTCACCTTGGCATTTAGAATATCCCCTCCCCACTCCCACCGCTGCTGGAGAATGCACAACTATAAAGCAAAACTAAACTTATATACTAAAGAGAAAATTTCAAAAGTTCACATCACCATGTTACCCTTTTTTTTTCTTTTTCCCCTGAGACAGAGTCTTGCTCTGTCGCCTAGGCTGGAGTGCAGGGGTGTGACCTCAGCTCACTGCAACCTTTGCCTCCCAGGTTGAAGCGATTCTCCTGCCTCAGTCCCCCCAAGTAGCTGGGATTACAGGCGTCTGCCACCATGCCCAGCTAATTTTTGTATTTTTAGTAGAGATGGGGTTTTGCCATGTTGGCCAGGATGATCTCCAACTCCTGACCTCAAGCGATCCAGCCACCTCGGCCTCCGAAAGTGCTGGGATTACAGGCGTGAGCCAGCACACCAGGCTGATAGCTACAATTTAAAGAAACAGAAAATAACAAGTGTGGGATGTGGAAAAACTGGAACCCTCATACATTGCTGCTGGGAATGTAAAATGGTGAAGCTGCTATGCAAACAGTTCGGCATGGCTGGGCACAGTGGCTCACGCCTGGAATCTTGGCACTGTGGGAGGCCAAGGTGGGAGGATCACTTAAGCCAAGGAGTCCAACACCAGCCTGGGCAACAAAGTGAGACCCCATCTCTACAAAAAAATTTAAAAAAAACAACATTAGCTGGGCATGGTGGCGTGGTGGCATAGTCCCGGCTACTCAAGAGGATGAAGTAGGAGGATAACTTGAGCCTGGGAGATCGAGGCTGCAGTGAGCCGAGATCCAGCCTAGGCAGCGGAGCAAGGCCTTGTCTCAAAAAAAAGAGTAAAAAGAAGTGCAAAGAAAACAGTTTGGCAATTCCACAAAATAAACAGAGTTACCTCATGACCTGACAATTCCACTCCCCCTAAATAAAAGGACTTAAGCAGACACTCGCACACCAGTGTTCACAGCAGCACTATTCCCAACAGCCAAAAGACAGAAATCACCCCTGTTGTTCATCAGCAGAGGAATGAGTAAGACATGAGCTCTCCACAGGACTATTATTCAGTCATAAGAAGGAATGAAGCAGGCCTGGTGTGGGGGCTCACACCTGTAATCCCTGCACTGTGGGAGGCCAGGAGTTTGAGGACCAGCCTTGGCAACAAACACCCCGTCTCTACAAAAATTTTTTTCTTAAATCAGCTGGGTGTGGTGGTATGTGCCTGTGGTCCCAGCTACATGGGAGTCTGAGGCAGGAAGATCGCTTGAGCGCAGGTGGTCAAGGCTGAAGTGAGCTGTGTCTGTGCCACTGCATTCCAGCCTGGGCAACAGGGCGAGACCCTGTCTCAAACACAAACACAAAAACAAAACAAAATGAATCAGGTACTGATATACGCCAAAAGATGGATTTTTTTTTTTTGAGACAGAGTTTTGCTCTTGTTGCCCAGGCTGGAGTGCAGTGGTGCAATCTTGGCTCCCTGCAACCTCCGGCTCCCGGGTTCAAACAATTCTCCTGCCTCAGCCTCCGGAGCAGCTGGGATTACAGGGATCTGCCACCACACCCACCTAATTTTGTATTTTTAGTAGAGACGGGTTTCACCATGTTGGCCAGGATGGTCTCAAAATCTCTTGACTTTGTGAACCACCCGCCTCGGCCTCCCAAAATGCTGGGATTACAGGCGTGAGCCACCACACCCGGCCGAATCTAAAATGATGTCTGCTACCTGAAAATAAGCAATACAAAGACAATTATTGCATGATTCCATTTATATGAAACCTTTTTTTGAAAAACTTTTTTGTGAGCCACCACGCCTGGCTGACTTGGAGTGTCTCATCTTTATTTACTTTATTCTTGAAACAGAGTCTCACTCTGTCGCCCAGGCTGGAGTGCAGTGGCATGATCTCGGCTCAACTGCAACCTCCACCTCCCAGATTCACCCCATTCTCCTGCCTCAGCCTCCTGAGTAGCTGGGATTACAGGCATGCGCCACCACACCCAGCTAATAAATGAAACTTTATTTTTATTTATTTATTTTTGAGACAGAGTCTCGCTCTGTCGCCTAGGCTGGAGGGCAGTGGCATCATCTCGGTTCACTGCAAGCTCTGCCTCCCAGGTTCACGCCATTCTCCTGCCTCAGCCTCCCAAGTAGCTGGGACTACAGGCGCCCACCACCACGCCCGGCTAATTTTTTGTGTTTTTAGTAGAGACGGGGTTTCACCATGTTAGCCAAGATGGTCTCGATCTCCTGACCTCGTGATCTGCCCGCCTCAGCCTCCCAAAGTGCTGGGATTACAGGCATGAGCCACCACACCCGGCCATGAAACATTCTTAATAGGCAAATTCATAAAGACAAAAACTAGGTTAGAGGCCCACAGGCACTGAGGGGAGAGAGGAATGCAGAGTTATTGTTCACTGGGTACAGAATTTTGTAAATAGTGGTGATGCTTGCACAAATTCTGAATGTAATTAGTATTGTAGAATGTAATTAGCGCCACTAATTGTACACTTAAAAATAGTTAAAATGGGCTGGGCACGGTGGCTCACACCTGTAATCCCAGCACTTTGGAAGGCCAAGGCAGGCTGATCACCTGAGGTCAGGATTTCGAGACCAGCCGCCGGACCAACATGGAGAAACCCCATCTCTGCTAAAAATACAAAAATCAACCGGGTGTGGTGGCATGCACCTGTAATCCCAGCTACTCAGGAGGCTGAGGCAGGAGAATTGCTTGAACCTGGGAGGCGGAGGTTGCGGTAACTGAGATTGCACCATTGCACTCTAGCCTGGGCAACAAGAGTGAAACTCCGTCTAAAAAAAAAAAAACGGTTAAAACAGCGAATTTTATGTTACCTATATTTTACCATAATTAAATAAAATCAGTGGAATAAACCAAAATCCATCAAATTGCACACTTTACATGGGCGAATTGTATGGTATGTGAATTACACATAACAGCTCTTAACAGCTCGGTAAAGCTGTTAAGTATTATGGAGTCAGAAGTCTTCGTCCAATGGCTATGGAGAGCAAATTCAGGCAAAAGGAGAAGCTGAAGGAAGGGAATATTCAGCCTAGAGCGTGGCTGACAATCAGAAGGCGTTGGAGGAGCCCCCATCTCCCGGGGGCCACAGGACAGACGTGGCTGAGGACAAGCCAGGGGCCTGTCAGAGGTAGAGGTGCAAGACCTGTTAGGACAGACGCAGTGGCTCACACCTATACTCCCAGCACTTTGGGAGGCCAGGCAGGCAGATCACCTGAGGTCAGAAGTTCAAGACCAGCCTGGCCAACGTGGCAAAACCCCATTGCTACAAAAAACATAAAAATTAGCTGGGTGTAGTGCACATGCCTGTAATCCCAGCTACTCAGGAGGCTGAGGCAGGAGAATCGCTTGAACCCGGGAGGCGGAGGTTGCAGTGAACCGAGATCGCGCCACTACACTGCACCCTGGACGACAGAGTGAGACCCTGTCTCAAAAAAAAAAAAAAATTGTTAAATACACTATGCCCAACCCCACCGTGCTCCCTAAGCTAAGGAACTACACAACAGGCGTGGGCACCCTGAGACACAGGGCAAGGGCTTTTAGGCAGACAGAACAAGGATAAAGAACCCTGAACCCAAATCTCCCCCAGACTCCCTCGCCCACACGGGCATCCCCTTACTGCGGCTGAGGGAGCCGACCTGTCTCTCCATCAGAGCTCTCAGTGATAACCAGGGTGGTGGCCTCACAAGAGAATGCCAATTCTCCGTAGAACCCACCCCACCAATCCCCACCACCTCCAAGAGCAGATCCTGCCGTCAACTGAGAAATGGCCCCAGCTCTTTGCAGCTCCCGGTACCCACGCCTGTGCCACAAAACTCTGCATGGAAGGGGAGAGACTGAATACACACGCGAACAGGGGACAGACCGCCTAAAAAACCAGAACTCTGCCCGCTGCGCAGCAACAAGCCCAGGGCTCCAAACAGCAGCAGCCCCACCGGCCAGCCCTAAAAAGCCACACACGCCCTGACAGTCACAGAAGACGCCCACTCGGAGTTCGGAGCGCGCCTGAAGGCCTCCTGAGGCCCTGAGTGCTGCGGGACAGAATACCTCAGACTGGGTCATTTATAGTGGATAGAAATGTATTTTCTCACAGTTCTGAAGGCTGCAAGTCCAAAGTCAACAGGCAGGGTGGGCGACCCTGGCCACAGGCTGATGTCTTGAACTCCATATCTTCACCTGGTGGAAGGTGGAAGGGCAAAGAGAGACGCGAGGGGGGTTGCTTGCCTTTTATTAATATAATGGCATTAATCCCACCTGGGAAGCAGAGCCCCACCCCCCCCATCCCACACGCTAATCACCACTTACAGGTCCCACCTGTTAATACAAACAATGCGGCCAGGTGCAGTGACTCGAACCTGTAACTCCAGTGCTTTGGGAGGTCAAGGCAGCCGGATCACTTGAGCCCAGGAGTTCAAGATGAGCCTGGGTAACATGTTGAAACCTCATCTCTGCAAAAATAAATAATTAGCCAGGGTGGTGGCGTGTACCTGTGGTCCCAGCTACTCGGGAGGCTGAGATGGGAGAGTCGCTTGAGCCCAGGAGGTCAAGGCTATATAGTAAGCTGTGATCACACCACTGCACTCCGGCCTGGACCAACAAAGCAAGACCCTGACTCTTAAAAAAAAAAAAACACACACAAAACACAAAAAACTAATAACATTTCCATACAAGTGTCAGTAGGACAAACACGCAGACCACACAGCAGCCTGCCTCCCACTTCCCCACACCAATAGCCACCAGCCAGGACACAGCGAGCCTTCCCCTTCCCTCCATGAAGCTTTCCCTCCACCCTGCCGGCCTTGGCGTCTTAGTCAATGCAAGTGACAGAGGCCGACTCCCTTGCTGTGGCAAGCTCTGAATAAGCAGCCCCCGCTGGTTCCCATTTGGGCAGATGTCACTGATCTCCACAAGGGCTGAGCGCCTGCTGGACATCCGGCGCCCACACTCGCTGTCCTCCTGGGTCAGGAAACGCCCCCCAGCCCATCTCCCCACTATTGCTAGCCAGGCATCAACATGGAGCAGGGGGACAATTGTTTTCTAAGCAAGCTGCATGGGATCTCGTTGGCTCAGGGAGCACCCTGTGCTTTCTCTAAAAAAACATTCCCCCAGCCTCATTTGGTGAGGGACAAAACCCAGCGGAAAGGGTTTAGGCAAAGAACCATTCCATTAAATCGCTCCACTTGGTAAGTTTAGACAAGCCCACTGGTGCTGTGAGAAAGGTCCTGGCCAGGCACAGTGGCTCACACCTGTAATCCTAGCAGTTTGGGCAGCCGAAGCGGGCAGATTGCTTGAACCCAGGAGTCTGAGACCAGCCTAGGCGACATAGGGAGATCTTGTCTCTACAAAAAAATACAAAAATTAGCCAGGCATGGTGGCCCACACCTGTAGTCCCAGCTAACTGGGAGGCTGGACCTGGGAGGTCAAGCCTGTGCTGAGCCGTGATCGTGCCACTGTACTCCAGCCTGGGTGACAGAGTGAGACCCTGTCTCAAAAAAAAAAAAAAAAGAGAAGGGTCTCACCTCCTAACCCACTGTGTACCAGCTCCCAAGTCCTCTGCCTTTCGGAAGGGGGCAAGGGAATTTTATGAAGGTGCCTCTCAGAAGGGCAGATGCTCAGAGGGGGCTGCAGACTCAGATCCTGCTTTGCTTTGCTTTGCTATGAAGGAAAAGTAGATGGCCACTGAGAAAACACTTTGACAGTTTCCATAAACACAGGCCCAGCCTACGACCCTGCTGTTCTACTCATATATTTTGTTTGAGACGGAGTCCTGCTCTGCCACCCAGGCTGGAGTGCCATGGCTTGGTCGACTCACCACGACCTCCGCCTCCCGGGTTCAAGCAATTCTCCCACCTCAGCTTCCCGAGTAGCTGGGAATACAGGCACACATCAGCATGCCCGGCTACTATTTGTATTTTTAGTAGAGACAGGGTTTCACTATGTTGGCCAGGCTGGTCTTGAACTCTTGACCCCAAGTGAGCTGCCCACCTCAGCCTCCCAAAGTGCTGGGATTGCAGGCGTGAGCCACCGTGCCTGGCCTACTCCTAGGTGTTTGCCCAAGAGAAATGAACACACATCTGCATAAAGACTTGCCTTTGGATGTTTTAATATATGTTTTATTTATTATAGCAGCTTTATTCATAATAGATCAAAACTACAGAACAGATAGACAAACTGTAGTGCATTCCAGCAATAAAAAGGAAGAGACTGCTGCTCTCTGCAACAGCGTGGGTGAACTCCAAAGACCAGATGCTGAGTGAAAGCAGCCGGATTTCCAGAAACACCTGGGTTCTGTTCACATGAAATTCCAGAACCCGAAAACTAACTGATGGGCAGGATTCAGAGTTTCAGTTCCGTGAGATGAGTGGCCGCACGGCACTGTGGACGTGCTTAGCGCTGAATGGTACACTTAAAAACAGGTGTGGGCCGGGCATGGTGGCTCAAGCCTGTAATCCCAGCACTTTGGGAGGCCGGGGTGGGCGGATCACGAGGTCAGGAGGTCGAGACCATCCTGGCTAACACAGTGAAACGCCATCTATACTGAAATATACAAAAAAATTAGCTGGGCGTGGTGGCGGGCGCCTATAGTCCCAGCTACTCAGGAGGCTGAGGCAGGAGCATGGCATGAACCCGGGAGGCAGAGCTTGCAGTGAGCCAAGATCATGCCACTTCACTCCAGCCTGGGCGACAGAGTGAGACTCTATCTCAAAAGCAAACAAACAAGCAAAGAAACAACGGGTGCAATGGTCAATTTTGTTATGTGTATTACCACAATTTAAAGTTGTTTTTGTGTGTGTGTGTGAGACAAGGTCTGGCTCTGTCCCCCAGGCTGGAGTGCAGTGGCGTGATCTCAGCTCACTGCAACCTCCTCCTCCCGGGCTCAAGCCATGCTCTTACCTTAGCATCCCCAGTACCTGGGATTACAGGTGCCAGCTACCATGCCTGGCTTTTTTTTTTTTTTTTTTTTTTTTTTTTTTTTAGCGACAGGTCTCACTATGCTGCCCAGGCCGGTCTTGAACTCCTGAGCTAAAGGGATCCTCTCCCCTTGGCCTCCCAAAGCGCAAGGATTACAACCATGAGCCACTGCACCTGGCTGCTAACAGTTTTTAAAATTTAACAATAACGACAACATCCCCTGGTGCGATGACTCACACCTGTAATCCCAGCACTTTAGGAGGCTGAGGTGGGAGGATTGCTTGAGCTGAGGAGGCTGAGGCTGCAGTGAGCCGTGATCATGCCACTGCACTACAGCCTGGGCATCAGAACCAGCCTCTTTCAACCAAAACCAAAACCTAACCTCCGGGTAAAGAAATCAGAACAGTGGTTGCTTCTGGAGGTGGGGGATTGACTGCCAAGGGGCTGTGAAGGAAATGGTCTCTGCCTTGAGGCAGGTGGTGGTTACAGAGGTGCCTGGATCCTCACAAGTTATCAACCTATATCCACTTCGTTGTTTGTTTGGTTGTTTGTTTGTTTGTTTGTTTTTGTTTTTTTGAGACAGGCTCTCACCCTGTCGCCCAGGCTGGAGTCCAGTGGCATGATCACCGCTCACTTGCAGCCTCCACCTCCTACGCTCAAGTGATCCTCCCATCTCAGTTTCCCAAGTCCCAGCCTGGATCTGGGACTCCATGCCTGCGCCATCACACCTGACTAATTTATTTTTTGTACAGACGGGGTCTCACCATGTTGCCCAGGCTGGTCTTGAACTCCTGGGCTCAAGTGAGCCTCCTGCCTCGGCCTCCCAAAGTGCTGGGATCACAGGCATGAGCTACTGCACCTGGCTTTATATACATTTTAAGTGAGGGCATTTCAAGGTAAGTAAAGGAAGAGGTGGCCAGGAGGCTGCAGCACGTGGGGACCCCCAGCTCATCCCTCCCGCTCCCACTCTGGCCAAGGCCACGGTTCTGCCTCCCCGATCCACCAGGGCCCCGGCTCACGCGTGCGTCCTGACTCATCTGTCCTGAGTGTCCCCGGGCTCCTTCCTCGCCGTTCGGGTCCAGATCCCATGGGGACTGGAGGGCAGTGTGGGGGAGGGGTCCCTTCCCCAGGAGCAGTGGAGTGGGAACACCTGTGCGTGCCTGTCCCCGACCCCTGCTGCAGCTGCACGGTTCCCACAAGCCTCTGTAGCCTTTGCGGGGTTGGGGACATGGCGGGTGACGTCCTGGCCAGCGGTTAGCTCCTAAGGCCACACAGCTGGGGCCACAGGTCACTCAGGCCAGGTGAGGGCTTGCGCCCTTTCCCCCATCTGCCCCAGCCAGCTTATAGCTAGGGGCTGCCCCTGAGGCTCTAGTACCGTCTCCTTAGGGCCCTCCTGGGCCCGCCCCCTCGACTTCTGAGCTCTTCGCTGCCCTAGGGACGCAGGCCTCTTTGGGTCCTGCGACCCCAGGTTCGTTTCCTCTCCTCCGAGGGTGCTCTGGACTGCTCCCACAAACTCCTAGGCTGTTTGCTTAAATGTCCCCTTCAGAGTGAGGCCCTCCTGGCCTCAGTATCAGTAATAATAATGAGAAGAAGAACTCTTTAGCTGCTGGTGTGTGTATTTTACTTATTTTAAAAATTGACTCTCTTCCCTAAACTCTCCAGCCTCCTCCCGGCTGTCAGCTGCCACACGCAGGAATTTGTTGGTTTTGTTCAGCTGTTCCTGGTGGGCCTGGTGGGCACTGGCTGGCAGGAAGAGCCCATGTGCATGCAGAGGTGGGTGCGTCTCATCCCGACCAGGCCATGCTCCGTCCTGCTGGTGCCCGCCAACCCCTCTGTCCTCAGACAATCTTCTAGAATGAGCGAAGGGCCTGAACAGGTGATTCACTCAAGAAAGAGGAATGTAGGGGCCCCGCCAGCGTGGATTGCATGCTTGGCCTGGTCCTGGTGCTCAAGAAGGCTCTTCCTTTTGTCATGGGACCCATACTCTAAGCATCCTCAATTACATACAGGATCAGAGAGGGCAAGTCATTTGCCCACGGCTCCACAGCTGCCTGACCCCACAACCCGTGCTGTAAACACACATGCTGCAGGCATCAGTGTGGTGGAATTGAAAACAGCCACGAGGCACCTTTTCCTGTGCATTTTGGGGAACTTGCCCTCCATCTGGCAGCCTCAATCCAAAATTTCTCCCTCCCCCGTTTCCCAGTTGCTGAGAAAGGGCTCCACCACCCATGCTGCCACCCGCACGAGGAACCAGGTGTCCCCGCCCATGCTCTGCCCTGAGGCTCAGCCTCCATCAGTTCTCATCAGGGCGATGCCAGGCCCCCAGGCCGGGCCCTAGGCCCAGTCTTGCCCTCTGATGCCACCTGCTCAGCTCCAGGGCCCAGGTGTGCTGGCGCCTGTGTGCAGGGGTGGCCCAGTGTGAGGACAGCAGGTAGCTACCCCTCCCCTGTACACAGCCCAAGTGACCAACACAGATGTCGACTGGGCCTTCACTGAGCCTTCTTAGCCATCCCCTGGGACCCGGCGAGCACCCGCACCCCAGCCTCTGGCTACACCATGGGGCACAGGCCTGCTCCCCCAGCCTCTCCTCTACTTGGTCACATTGCCCATTGGGTTTTTTTCTTTTTTTTTTTTTTTTTTCCTTTTTTGAGACAGTCTCACTGTCACAAGGCTGGAGTGCAGTGGCGCAATCTCGTCTCACTGCAACCTCCGCCTCCCGGGTTCACACCATTCTCCTGCCTCAGCCTCCCAAGTAGCTGGGAATACAGGTGTGCGCCACCACGCCTGGCTAATTTTTTGTATTTTTAGTAGAGACGGAGTTTCACCATGTTGGCCAGCATGGTCTTGATCTCTTGACCTCGTGATCCATCCGCCTCAGCCTCCCAAAGTGCTGGGATTACAGGCGTGAGCCACCGTGCCCGGCCTGCCCAGGGGTTTTCAAACCATGAAAAGATCAAGTGAATTCTTTGCAGAGCACAAGAGACTCAGCTGGGGCTCAAACCCGGGGATGCTGGACTCAGCCCCTGGAGGCCCCTGCCCAAGCCTGGGCCTGGAGGAGAAAGGCAATGGTCGAAGGCCACCTGGGTTAGCCCGGCTCAGCTAAGGCCACAGCTGCTGCCATCCCAGGCTTCCTGGCCAGCCCTGCACCGACACATCTTGCCCACTCCCAGGGAAGGGATTATCGCCCCAAGGTCTCCAGATAACAGCAGGCACACAGGGCTATAACGGGGACCGGCAGACAGGCGTCCTACACCCCTGCCAGCGGCACCATGGCTTTCCTCTGGCTCCTCTCCTGCTGGGCCCTCCTGGGTACCACCTTCGGTGAGTGCCAGGCCCTGCGGAGGCCGAAGGGTTTTCTCCTCTCACTCCCAGCCCCGAGGCCAGCAAGAGGCAGCAGGGTCCCAGCTCCCAGTTCAGCTGTGCACCGCAGTGTGGGCCTGGGCGAGTCACCGGCTCCATCTCTGCCGTGGGCGCTGAGAGGTCAATGCCTCCCTCCCAGGCTCAGCTGCCGCCTCTGAGCTCAGGAGATGGGGAGTCCCGCTCCCCTTCCTCACCCCCAGCAGACCTGAGGCTCTCAGGGGAGGAGGCGGGGGGAGGAGGCAGGTGTCCGGGGGCTGCCCTGAGGCCTTCGGGAAACCCCCAAACAGTCAGCGGCCCCAGCACAGGTTTGGGTGGTGAATGTGTGGGCAGCTGGGGCTTGGCACCGTTCAGTCCAAACCTTTCAGAACCTCGAGCCTCACCCTCTTAAACTCCTGCTCACGGAGCACTTCCCGGGTGCCAGGCGCAGAGCTGGCGCTCTGCCTGCTCACTCTACCAAACCTGTGAGGTCAGAAACAGCGTGATCCCCACTTTGCTGATGGGGACACTGAGTGGCTTAGCTGGGCAGGGAGGGAGCCAGGTTCAAACCCACAGAGTCTGGCCTCCCAGACTGAGCGCCGGGGCTGCCGCCCACCGCACGCTCCACCTGTGTGACTTCTCCGAACTGAGGTGGGGCCAACACCCCATTCCTCAGCAGCCCACAGCCCAGTTCATTGGACTCAGTTGTACCTGGGGATTCCAGCTCTGCGGAGAGGAGAGCCAGGGCCAACTTCTCAGAGAAGGGGATGTGGGAGCCAGTCTAGGTCCCAGAGACTGGAAAAGAGTTGGGAGTGAGAGGAGGCTGGAGCATTAGGACCTGGGTGGGTGGTACCCACCCCTCAGCCCACTCCCGCCCCCAGGCTGCGGGGTCCCCGCCATCCACCCTGTGCTCAGCGGCCTGTCCAGGATCGTGAATGGGGAGGACGCCGTCCCCGGCTCCTGGCCCTGGCAGGTGTCCCTGCAGGTGAGGGGGTTCTGCAAGGTGGGGGGCACCCTGGGTAGGGGCCAGGCTGGGGGTGCCCCCGGGTGGGAGGTGCTGACCCTCCCCATCTTGCTCACAGGACAAAACCGGCTTCCACTTCTGCGGGGGCTCCCTCATCAGCGAGGACTGGGTGGTCACCGCTGCCCACTGCGGGGTCAGGTGAGGACCGGGCAGCCTTGGGCTCCGCTTCCAGCACCGGTCGGGTGGGAGGGGAGCAGGGCATGTTCTCTCACCCACAACGCTCTGCCCAGGACCTCCGACGTGGTCGTGGCTGGGGAGTTTGACCAGGGCTCTGACGAGGAGAACATCCAGGTCCTGAAGATCGCCAAGGTACCCAGGCCCCGTGCAGCAGAGGGCAGGGCCGTGGGCACGGGGGGAGACCCCTCGGCTGCTTCAGGGACAGGCGCCCAGTGGGGCCGGGCCGGCCTCGAGATTCCCATTCCGGCCCTGGGGATGGACTGCTCCTTAACGGGCACCAGGGAAGGAGTCTGTCCTCGAAGCCTGCAGGTCCTGCCTCCTCCCAGGGCCTCACCCCGGCACTCTGGCCCCCACCCCCAGGTCTTCAAGAACCCCAAGTTCAGCATTCTGACCGTGAACAATGACATCACCCTGCTGAAGCTGGCCACACCTGCCCGCTTCTCCCAGACAGTGTCCGCCGTGTGCCTGCCCAGCGCCGACGACGACTTCCCCGCGGGGACACTGTGTGCCACCACAGGCTGGGGCAAGACCAAGTACAACGGTGAGGGGCCGCGGGGCTGCCTCTGGGGTCTGGGCTGCCTGGCTGTGGAGTCCCCCTGTGACCGTTTGGCGCTTCTTGTTTGGCTCTAAATTCCAACACGCTCCTAACTGCCCGTTCGTTATTGAAAATCTTCTGAATTTAAAATCCCCCAAATGCAAATAAAATCCAGGTCGGATCATGAGGAGCCTGCACAGGGAGCTTCTGAGCAGCGCCCGGCCGGGTGAGCCCTGCCCTGGCTGACCTGCCTGGAGTCGCAGCGTGGGGCTCCCACCCGGGCAGGGCCGAGGCCCCCTTGTCCCACAGGCGCTTCTGAGGCTCCAGGGGCCGTACCCAACATCGTGGTGATGGTGCAGGGTAGGGCAGGCGTGTCGGCCCCGGGTCTCTCCCTCCACTCTTGGCTGAGTGAGCCCAGGGGCCCTGACCCTCCTCCTGTCCTGCAGCCAACAAGACCCCTGACAAGCTGCAGCAGGCAGCCCTGCCCCTCCTGTCCAATGCCGAATGCAAGAAGTCCTGGGGCAGGAGGATCACCGACGTGATGATCTGTGCCGGGGCCAGTGGCGTCTCCTCCTGCATGGTGAGGCTGGCCCTGCCCAGGCCCTGGCCAGGCGAGCGGGGTGCAGGGGAGGTCTGGGCTTTCCACCCCTCTCTGCTCTCATCTACTAACCCCACTCCTTCCTGGGTGTCAGAGTCGCCTTGTTGCAAAATTCCATGGCCAATGTCAGAGCCAATGGCTCTTGGAGTTGTGCAGTGCACAATCTGGACCGTGGATCCCAGCAGGACAGCGGGCTCCAGCAGCCCTCCCTCCCTCACACGGACCCCTTGGCCAGCCCCACCATGCTCTTCCTCCTATTGGTCAAACCAGCTTTACTGAGCTGCCATTAAAGGGTCCCATTCCAGGGCTGGCTCAGGCTTCCAGGGGCATGAACCACATAAGCAGCTACTAGGGTCTTTCATAACCCACGCAACAGCACATGCTGAGCCTTTGCTGTGTGTGGGGTCCTGGACTGGACTCTGGGAACAATGTCCAGTGGCCCCTGGGACCAGTCTGTCTCGGCTGCCAGATCCAAGCCCCCTTCTCCCTCTCCCACAGGGCGACTCTGGCGGCCCCCTGGTCTGCCAAAAGGATGGAGCCTGGACCCTGGTGGGCATTGTGTCCTGGGGCAGCGACACCTGCTCCACCTCCAGCCCTGGCGTGTACGCCCGTGTCACCAAGCTCATACCTTGGGTGCAGAAGATCCTGGCTGCCAACTGAGCCCGCGGCTCCCTCCGACCCTGCTCCCCACAGAGCCTCAGTAAACCCATGGAACACACGTCGGCGCTGTCCGTCTTCTGTTTTGGGGCCTCCAAGGCCTCACTCCACTCCGGAACCTGGGCCCCCACTGGGCTGGACTGGGCTGGGCTAGGCATGGGCGGCCTCTGGGAGGACCCTTCCTTAGTCCCCTCTCCCACCACTCAGGCTCCTGCTTCCCAGAGAGTGGCCAGGAACACACGGGCAGATGAAAAGGGGTGCAGAGACAGACGGGGGATCTGGCTGGTGGGGACCGGGTGGACCTTGGCCCCCATCCTCAGCACCTGCCCCCAGGCGACAGGTTCTTGCCACCCACCCTTGCTCTCTTGCTCTGGGCCCTGCAGGAGGGCGTGGGCAGCGTGGGGGCTGTGGGGGGATGAGCTCACTCTGGCCCCACAGACCTGTGGCTCCAAGGAATCTTCCCACGGCCACTCCTAGGGCTGCCAGACATACGCTGGAGCCAGGAGCGTTATCAACGCAAGGACTGGTGATGAGGTGGGTGGTGTCGAGGTGGGCCGTGATTGGTGGGCTCAGGGGACAGTATGGGGACCCTCTGACATCCCATGGCCTTTCTCTGGATCACTGGCTTCCCCCTGGCAGTGACTTTTTTTTTTTTTTTTTTTTTTGAGACAGAGTCTCACTCTGTCGCCCAGGCTGGGGTGCAGTGGTGCGATCTCACCTCCCAAGTAGCTGGGACTACAGGCGCCCGCCACCATGCCCGGCTAATTGTTTTGTATTTTTTTAGTAGAGACGGGGTTTCACCGTGTTAACCAGGATGGTCTCGATCTCCTGACCTCGTCATCCGCCCGCCTTGGCCTCCCAAAGTGCTGCGATTACAGGCCTGAGCCACCGCGCCCAGCCCTATGGCAATGACTCTTAAAAGTTCGAGGCTCAGGCAGGCCGGGAGCCCCAGGTCAAACATGCCCATCCCCAGCCCCAAATGCCCAGAAGCAAAAAGCCCGCCGTGCCATGTTTCATCAAGGCACCACATCCTCCGTGGCCAGATCGTCCTCCCCTTCCTCCTCACACCCTGCCAGCTGGCCCCCGCCCCTCTGGCCGCTACCCCCACCCCCTCGGCCGTGCTTGGGGCATCTGTTTCCTCCCTTCCTTAGCCCCCGCACCCTCAGACCCTCCACACCCTACGATTCTGCCTCCTGAGGGGCTCCTGCATCCACGCCTTTTGCCCACCCCTCACCCCCAGCCCCTGCACCCTCTGGACTTGGGCGGCCTCCTGGGTTTATGTGCCCCCGGGCCCCACACCCCAATCCACCCCAGCCACTGACTCAGAGTCCTCAAGAGCACAGGGACCCAAGGAGATACAGCCACCATGTCCCAGCACCCTGGGCTCAGAAGGGGACAGACACTCCCTTGGGTACACAACGGTCAGGGGAGGGGGCTGAGGGCACTGCAGTGGCACCTCAGGACACCATCAACTGCCGGCTGTCCTGGGGAGGATGCCAACTCCAGCTCCGAGGCCTGGCAGGTGTCCCTGCAGATCAGAGAGGTCCTGCCCATGTGGTGGGGGGGACCCTGGGTGGTGGGCAGGCTAGAGTTGGGGGGAAGTTTAAAACAATTTTTATTAATATATAAATAGAGACTTGGGTCTCACTATGCGGCCCGACTGGCCTTGAAGTTTGGCCTCAAGTGATCCTCCTGCCTCAGCCTCCCAAAGTGCTAGGATTACACAGCCCTCGCCCCTCGGGTCCCTTCTGCCCTTGTGGGAGTTGCCAGTCCTCCTATCCTCCCAGTACAAAGCTGGCTTCCACTTCTGCGGGGGCTACCACATCAGCGAGGACTGGGTGGTCACCGCTGCCCACCAGGGGTCAGGTGAGGCTTGAGCTTGAGGAGTTGGGGCCCACCAGGTGTCAGGGAATGACACTCATCCCCCTTCCCAACCCCAACTACACCCTGCAACCAACAGGAAAAGGGTCGGAAATGAACTGCAGGCTGGGGAACCAGCACCCCCATCCCCCGGCCACAGGCAGAGCCGCCTCTGCAGGAGACACCCACCCCAGGCCGTGCACCCCACCTCCACCCTCGCAGGCCACCCAGACGGCAGCTTGGGGAAACCTGGGAGGTCCCGTACCCTCACTGTGCAGGTGGGGAAATTTAGACCCTGAAAAAGGGATGCCCTGAGATCACCATGAGATTGAGGGGCAAGCAGGGCTCACCCTGACTGGCTCACTTCCCAGGCACCCCCATGAGCCCAGGCACCACCTGCCACCCTCACTCTCCAGGAAGAGCCACCGCGTGGTGGCCGGGATCGTGTGGTGGCCAGGGCGTCTGACCTTGGCTCTCACCCGGAGGCCATCCAGGTGCTGAGGATGGCTAACGCTAAGGCCACACAGCCAGGGAGAGGAGGTGGCTCGTGACACCACGATGGGACACACCCACCTCTGGGAGAGGAGGTGAGTGGGCACAAGGGCCCCTGCCCAGCTGGCCTGGGCCTTGCCCTGCACCCTTGGCTGCCAGGGCCCATGGGCACCTGCCTCTCCCAGCTTTTTCCTTCCCAAGTAGTAAAGCTCCTGAAAGCACCCTGACAGGTGTCTTCGATGGTAAAGTTTTGCTCATTGTAGAAAAACGTGGACAGATAATCATTAAAAATCACCACGTGCCACGGGCTATTCTCCATCCGTCTCCATAGACTCACCTGTCCAGTCCCATTCCTGTTCCTTTCTCAATGTACCCCAGCACTATCCAGTCCACTCATGGAGGCCTGGGCTCCCCACTCCTCTCTGCCCTCCTTCCCTAGGCCTTACAAGGGCCAGGACTCAGGCTCACAGCTTCCTGAACCAGGCAGGCGAGGCTGCCTGGGGACTTCCTCCTCTTCCCAGCCCTCTGAGCTGGAAGCGTCAGCTCATGGGATGAATGGCGCCCCGGCATGGATGAAAGCCACTTGCCCCAGCTCCCTCCAGGAGTGTGCATGGCAGAGCTGGGGCTGCCACGTGAACCCAGGCCTCAGGACCCTGGCACAGCCCCTGCACCCACACTTGCCATTTCTCCGCACCCCTCCCTGGACTCCGCCAGGTTAGGGTCTCCCAGGCCCTGGCACCCAGTTCAGGCCTGGAGACACCTCCTCTCCTTCCTGCAGGGTGACTCCGACAGCCCTTGCCTGCCAGGATGGAGCCTGGACTCTGGAGGGCATCGTGTCCTGGAGCAGCACCAGCACCTCCTGTTGTCACCAGGCGTGGATGCCCGCATCATGAAATTCATGCCTGGGAAGGCGTGGAGGCCGAGACCACCCCCCCTACCCCGCATCTGTGTAAAACACAAATAAAGCCATTGAGAGCAACTGCATACACCTTTACCTCTGTGTCCTCACCAAGGCAGGTGGGCTGAGCATGATGTGGCTGAGGTGGGGGGACAGATGCTGTCACGGGGACAACCTCTGTAGAGGTAAGATCAGGAGGGCTTGCGAATCACCCAGCCCTACTCCCTTCTTCATACAGATGGGGAAACCAAGGCCCATGTTCATATGCAGAACGGTCAGGGCTGGGAGCAGCACCAGGGGTTCCAAGCACCCTGAAGCTTCCATCTGGGCTGCGGGCTGCTGGGTGGGGGAGCCACGAAGGGGGACACACTTGCCCAGGGCAAGGGTCTTCTCCAAGCCCCTCCCTCCCAACTCAGAGGCCAGGTCCAGGTATAATTCCATGTGCACTTCGGGAGTTCCGCAGGCTGGGATGAGATTCTTTTAAGCAGAGCTCTGGATGCAGCCCCCAGCGGTGCCCTCGGCTCACAGGAACCCGTCCCCTTGTGCAGCTGTTCCTGCCCCAATCTGCCCTCACTCCAGATGCCAGCTGTGGGCATGGGCAGGTGCTCACTGTGGCAGCTCCCTAGGGTTGCAGGGGCCATGCCCAGGCTGTGCTTTCTGGGCCCCAGACCCTGCAGCTCTGAAACTGCCCCCTTTCTTGGGCCCAGGCTCTGCCCTGGCTCCCAGGGCCTTGTGGCCAGCTGCAGGCCTCACCCCGCCTCCAGGAGACACCCAGCCTCGGCGTTCCTTGGTTTTCTTCTAGAGAGACCCACTCCTCCTCTGCCCTCCCGGGAGATGCCACGCATGGCCCTTGCCCCCGGGTGCCTTCCCCAGAACCGTCACCCACCCCGGGCTGCTCTCATCTGCCACCCTCAGGCAGCTGCTCTTCCTTTTAAAAACTTTATTTAAATGGAGACTCTTAGTCAAATGATTGGAAAACCAATAACGAAAAATAGTTCTTCAGGTTCTTCTCCTGGTAAGGCGGAGGACACACCAAACTGCACTGGCCCTGTCAGGGGACACGGCACCCTCGTGGGACCAGGCTCAGCCCTCGGGGTGGCACGAGGTCCTGCAGGCTGCAGGACCCTCACACTCCAGCCCCGTCTGGTGACCCAACCCGGGCCCGTGGTGCATGCTGGGGAAGGCCACTGGCCGGCCCCTGGGCTTCGGCTCCTGAGGAGGCATGGCCCCACACCCTGCCCGGCCATAAATATATACAGATTCCTGGGCATCCAGGGCACCAGGACCGACGCAGAGCTGGGGTCCTGTCCCTAAGCCTGTGGCACAGCGACTCTTGACATGGGAGCCAGGGAGCTGGGACCGCCGCACCCCTCCCCTGCCTCCCTCCTGGGGTCACCACCCTCAGGCGGCTGCCAGCTGGCCTAGGACGCGGCGGAACTGCTGGGTGCTGTGGCCCAGCTCCTTGACCCTCTCCACCATGTCCTGGGCCGCGGAAGGCGATGGGTACTGCAAGGCAGCGGCCTTGGTGGTGGCCACGATGCCGCGCAGGAGGTCGCACAGCAGGTTGCTGTAGTGGGTCACCTGGCTGCGCACGTCAGCAGCCTTGGCCTGCCGTGACAGTGTGTCCCCGATGAACACCAGCTTGTGGGCGCTGAGGATGACGAACTTGCTGTGCGCCACAAAGATCTTGGGCGGCTGGTTGGTGGCCACGGCGGTAAAGAAGGCGTCCACGGCGTTGGTCAGTGTGGTCAGGTTGGCCTCACACTGCTCCAGGTAGAAGAGCAGCAGCTGCCGGTCCGAGGGCCCCAGGCCGCCTGTTCGCCCCGGGGCCAGGGGTTGGGCTGGCGTCCAGTTGGCCAGGTCGTGGTCTATGGGCCGTGACACCTCCTGTTCCAGTCGTTCAAACTGCTTCAGCTGGGGCAGGAGGGAAGCAGGAGCAGGGTTAGGCTCTCGGGTGAGTTGGAACCACAGGCCGAGACCTGGGCACCCTGGGCTGGGCTTCTCTAAAAGGGCCGCTACTCAGAGTGCATGGGACTGCAGGGAAACGGGCAGTCTCCTCTCCCGGGGACGGGACCAGGAACCATGGCAAGCCTTCTGGAGGTTGTTCAGTTACCCTTCCACCAGTCTCAAAAGGTCAGACTCCGTGCCCTGAACATTTTTGAAATGACAAGATGGACAACAGAAAAGTGGCTGCCTGGGGTCGGGGGGTCACCGTCCTGGCTTGGGTACTGTCCCACGTGACTTGAGACGTGGCACTGGGGAAAATGGCTGAAGGGCACTGGGGACCCCTCGACCCTATCTTTGCAACTTCCTGTGAATCTATAAATATTTCAAAATGGAAGGTTAAAAAAATTTTCCCCTTAGTTCAAAAGTAACATACACATTATAAAAAGATTCAAATATATCAAACAGAAAAAACGAAGATGTCACCTGTAATCCAATGCCCCTAAATAGAACCTCTGCTAAATCATCTTCCAGAACCACACACGAAAGTTAACATTTCCACTCCCGTGCCTAGGAGTCAGCTGAAGGGGACAATGTGTCCTCACTAGAGCCGCTCTGGCTCCGGAAGTGACCAGCCACACCCAGACTCAGGACTGGTAAGCTCTGTGCCACCCTAGGCGCAAAGATCCAAGCCACAATGAGCAAAACCAATAGGAAACCTCCCCTTCCTAACACTTAGAACCTCGCACTGTCCCCCTTAGGCAGCCACTTGGTGAAATCCTCCATCTCTCCGTTCCCTTAGCCAGTGAGATACATACTCCGCTTTTTTTCTTTGAAAAGCTCTGATGAGGCAGGGTGAGGTGGCTCATGCCTGTGATCCCAGCACTTTGGGAGGCTGAGGCAGGTGAATCACTTGAGTCTGGGAAGTCCAGGCTGCAGTGAGCCCTGACAGAGCACAGGCAACAAGCTTTGTGGGGTTTTTTTTTTTTCAATACTATTTTTATTTTTATAAAGAAGGAGTCTTGATCTGTCACCCAGGCTAATCTTTTTTTTTTTTTTTTTAAATGGAGTCTTGCTCTATCGCCCAGGCTGAAGTGAAGTGGCACGATCTCGGCTCGCTGCAACCTCTGCCTCCTGGGTTCAAGCGATTCTCCTGCTTCAGCTGGGATTACAGGCCTGCGCCACCACCCCTGGCTAATTTTTGTATTTTTGGTAAAGATGGGGTTTCACCATGTTGGCCAAGCTGGTCTCAAACTCCTGACCTCAGATGATCCTCCCGCCTCTGTCTCCCAAAGTGATGGGATTACAAGCGTGAGCCACTGCACCCAGCCCTTTTTATTCTTTGACAACTCTTCATAGTTATATAATATCCCACTGCATAAATGTCCATACTTTATTGAATCAATACTCTCCTATTAGACACTTTGTGGGTGGAGATTTCAGATTCTTCACCGATACAAAAATGGGGCAACAGATGTTCTCATCAGTAAGTCTTCATGGACTTGCATTTAACATGGACTTTATGTCCTTGGCCTTGGAATTCTACATCTTTAAAGTTCTTCACATATATTCTTGCCCTTTAATCCAGCTTCTAGCAAGTTATCTAAGTGATTCATCAGATACGTGCAAAGACTAGTATTCATCACAGCACTGTTCACAAAAGTAAAACTCTGGGAACAGCCTAAGTGTCCAACAGCAGGGGACTGGTGAAGTCAGTGCTGGAGGCACACAGAGGACGGACAAAGTACACGACCACTTCTGAAAACAAGGCGATCCCAGAGTTCTCTCTCTAGACAGAGATATAGACCTATATATTGTTGATATTTCAGGAGGTTTTTTGTTTTTGAGACGGAGTTTCGCTCTTGTTGCCCAGGCTAGAGTGCAGTGGTGCGATCTCGGCTCACCGCAACCTCCGCCTCCTGGGTTCAAGCGATTCTCCTGCCTCAGCCTCCCAAGTAGCTGGGATTACAGGCATGTGCCACCATGCCCAGCTAATTGTTTTGTATTTTTAGTAGAGATGGGGTTTCTCCATGTTGGTCAGGCTGGTCTCGAACTCCCGACCTCAGGTGATCCGCCCGCCTCGGCACCCAGGAGGTTTTTAAAACAATTTTATTTTATTTTTTTTGAGACGGAATCTCACCCTGTCGCCCAGGCTGGAGTGCAGTGGCGCAATCTCGGCTCACTGCAAGCTCCGCCTCCTGGGTTCAAATGATTCTCCTGCCTCAGCTTCCCAAGTAGCTGGGACTACAGGCGTGTGCCACTATGCTGGCCAATTTTTGTATTTTTAGTAGAGATGGGGTTTTGCCATGTTGACCAGGCTGGTCTCAAACTCGTGACCTCAAGTGATCTGCCCGCCTTGGCCTCCCAATGTGCTGGGATTACAAGTGTGAGCCACTGTGCCTGGCCACAATTTGTATTAATGTATACAGACTTGGGTCTCACTACGTGGCCTGGCTGGTCTCAAACCCTTGGCCTCAAGTGATCCTCCTGCCTCAGCCTCCTAAAGTGTTAGGATTACAGGTGTGACATTTATTCTTTTCTTGGGTGTTTTCTTTAGTAGATTTAACAGGGGTGCAGGTGCAGTTTTGTTATGTGGGTACAATGTACCCATTAGGTAATTTCTCAGCCCCCACCCCCTGCCACCCTGCCACCGTTCTGAGATGTCAATGTCTAGCCTCTCCTGAGTGTCTCCATGTGCCAGGTACTTCCCAGGCATCTTCCACTTTTCAGTGATTCTCACCGAGCTCTCATGAGGCGGCTGCAGCCTCACTGCTGTGTGTCGTGGGTCTCAGGCCCCTGCCTCTGCCACCTCCTTGGTGCCCAGAAGGTAGGCGAGGGAGATTTGACGGGTGATATTTTTATGTTCACTTCGTGCTATCCTGTATTTTCACTTTTAAAATTATCTTCATAATCAGAATAAAGCTCCCTTAGTGTTTTTTTACATACCTCTTTCCTACCCTGAAGAACTGATTCAAAATATGAGGAAAATTCTATTAACATGTCTGCATATAAACACAGCAGTATATTTATAATAAGGGGCCAGATGTGGTGGCTCACACTATAATCCCAGCACTTTGGGAGGCCAAGGCAGGTGGATCGTTTGAGCCCAGGTGTTTGAGACCAGCCTGGGCAATGTGGTGAAACCTTTGTCTCTATAAAAAATATAAAAATCAGCCAGGTGTGGTGGCAGGCGCCTGTAATCCCAACTACTGGGGAGGCTGAGGCAGGAGAATCGCTTGAGCCCAGAAGGTTGAGGCTGCAGTGAGTTGAGATCGCATCACTGTACTCTAGCCTGTGTGACAGAACAAGACTCTGTGTCAAAAAAAAAAAAAATACTAAGGAAGTGTGGGTACAATACAAACATTCAATAGACGCTAAGTGGTCTTTGAAAGAATCCACAAGAATGCTTAACGCCATGGCAGATGCTGGGACAGAAGAGTCGAATGCCCACAGGACACCATCCCGGCCATGCAGGGAGCAGCTTGGAGGAAGGAGCAGGGCAGAGCCAGCCCCGTGCTGAGCCTATGGCAGCTGTGAGGGGTCTATTTTCTGCTCTCACCCCACTCTCTAATTCCCTAAATGTCTCCAACAATTACTCTTGAAAACTTTAAAATAAACCAAGTGAAAAGATGAAGATGGTCAGGAGGCAGGGGGGTGGCAGGCCGGGCCCAGCTCTGAGCACTGTCAGACAACATGAGAAGCTGGGGACCCGGGGTCGGCCCTGCGGGGCAAGAGCTGGGGGCTCAGGGGGTCAGCGGGCAAAGCTGGGCCTTGCTCTGCTCCGGGGCCTCACCTGCTGCAACTCCAGCTGGCTCTTGCCCTGCCGCGTGATGCTGCCCTTTTCCAGCAGCTCCTTCTGGGTCTTCTCAAACTCCTCCTTCCCCTGGAGGGCAGAGACAGGGGCTGCGCTGAGGCCAGTTTTCTGAGCCAGAAGCACAGGCCAGCCCTGTGGCGGGCGCAGTGAGCTGAGTGGCCACCAGGTGGTGCTGCGTGTGCGCGCACACACACGCACACGTGGACGCACACACACACTAGCACACGTGGACACACACACACACACAAGCACACGTGAACACACACACAGACTGGCACGTGCAGGGGCAGGCAGACACACACACACACACACACACACACACACACACACTCCCCCAGGCTGGCATATGTGGGGACACAGCCCCCCCAGGCTGGCACATGCGGGGACACACAGAGAAGGTGGCTTCCTAGGAAGCAACCCTGGCAGCCCCTTTCACCGCCTGCCAGCTCAGGAAGAGACTGGGCAGAGGGTGGGGCACCCGCAGAAAGTCCGCAAGCTCCACCCTGCCTTCCCAGGCTCCAACACCAGGAATCACACCCAATCCCTCCCCCTTGGCCTAAAGGCCTGGCCACCTGGTCCCTGCCCCTGGATGCCTCTCTGGCCCAGCTCAGCCTGGAATGTTCCTTACCAGGACTCCCACCCGGCTAGCACCCAGGCCTCTGCTCCAGGGGCCAGCCTGGGAGGAGCAGTCCCAGCCACCTCCCACCACCTCCTGCTGCTCCCCCACGCTCAGAGCATCCTTGTGTGTGTGCACATTTCTGCAGATCTGTCTCCCCACACAGAACAGCAGAGTCACCGCTGCTGGTCACCAGAGATACCAGCCCGAGGGACTCAACGAAGGGCTCGATGACATGGCCACCCTAGCACATGGGGCCAATGTGGGGTGAGGGAGGTCAAAGTGAGAGGAGGGTGCAGGGCCTTGCCAGGGACCAGGCCCCAGCTGAGAACAAATCTCCCCCTAAGCACAGGAGCCCAGCGTGGCAGAAGAGGAGCCGGGGCTGGGCAGGCGGCACCCACCTGTAGGTGGACGTAGTCATAGTCCTCCATCCAGCCCCCCTCGCTGTTCTCGTACTGCCCATCTGGCGAGTCCTGGGAGGTGAACTTAGGGGGTGAGGGCAGGGGTCGTGACTGGATGCTGCTGGTCTTGTCAGTGGGGTTGGGGTGCAGGGTGCCACCCCCCTCAGGCCCCGGGGCAGTGGCCTTGGTCCGTCTGAAGAGCAGTGAGGCATTGCCGTGCAGGAAGGAGGCCAGCTGCTTGGCGTCCTCGGGCACAGCCCGCGAGCAGGCCACCAGCCGGTCCAGGTCCTCAAGGGTGGCTCCAGAGCTTCCCCGGCCAGCGTCGAGGGCCTGACCATGTGCCACCAGCGTCTGGTGCACGTCCTCCATCTTCTGCAGCTGCCGGCTAAGCTTGGCATGCAGGGCACGGTCAGATGTGTGGGCAGCATTGCCCACCGCGCTGCGGGCAAACTCCAACAGCTCGTGGACGGCACTCTGGACGGCGGCCACAGCAGCCTGCAGGTCCTGCACCAGCGGCTCCTGTGGCTCAGAGGGGCTACGCCAGCTCCCAGTCGCACCGGCGCTGCCTGCCAGGTCCAGAAGGTGGGCAACGGTGGCGCTCACACCCTGCTGCAGCCGTGCCAGGGCCTCCACAGCAACTTCCAGCTCCAGGGGTTCCCGGCCCGGCCCTGCCACCTCCAAGGAGGACGCAGACTGGCTGCTGCGTGTGCTGCCGGTGCTGGAGGCCGACAGGCGCTTGCCCTCTGCCGGGGCTTCACGTTCAGCTGGGGGAGGCACCGCATACACACCACTGTCGACCACGCCACCATCAGCCACCTCAGGAGGAAGCACCCGTTCACGGGGCACATCGTACAGGGTGCCCGGGCCAGGCCGCCGCAAGCCAGGGGGCACGTCGTAGAGGTCAGGAGCCGGGGGCGGCACGTCATACACGTCCTCGGCCGGCGGGGAGTCTGGAGGGGGCGCAGCCAGTACCAGTGGGGTGCGGGCCGGGTCAAAGGGCTTGGCCTTGGCGAAGGCGGGGGGCACATCGTAGGTCTCCTCACGCAGCAGTGGGCCATCGGGCACATCCTTGCTCACCGATGGAGGAACGTCGTAGACCTGGGGGACAAGCGGTGGTCAAGACTGTCCATCTGTCCATCTGCCCACCCCAGGGACTGGGGGCAGCACCCAGCCACACACACACACACACGTACACACATACAGACACACACACAGAGGCACGCGCACACACACAGGCACACATACAAATGCAGAGGCACGCACACAGGCACACACACGCACACACACACTCGCAGCCCTAGCACACACATCCTTCACAATTCCTATCCATGACAGCTCTGGGACGAGCCGGCTCTGGAGCCAGGTGACCACCCCTGTGCCTGAAGGTGGGAGAGCTTCCTCCCAAAGAATTGCATGTGTTAATTCACATAATTGTGTCACTGCAGACACTCACTGAAAGGTTAGCTGTGATACTGCCACTGCCACCACCATCATATCATGATTTCATCACCATCACCGCCGCTGCCACCTCATCACCACCATCACTGTTACCACCCAGCACCACCACCACGTGTGAACTTTCTACTCTGCAGCAGGTGTGCGACTGAGCTCTGTGTGTATTATCAGGGGACCAAATTCTGGTTTGCCCAGGACAGTGCTGGTTTGTCCCTGATGCCCCCACATAATTACTAGTCCCCCCTTCACTCTTGGAAGTATCCCAGGTGAGATGACACATCCCGTGGTCACCTTGCGGATACCCTCTCAGGAGCTCATGGAGAAGGCCTCGCAACAGGCGGTTCTGCCGACAAAGAACCTGAGGCTCAGAAGACAGCTTGATTTCCTCATCTGTCAACCATCCAGAACCAGGGTCTGGAGCCAGTCTCTTCCTGCCCGCCACCCCCAGCCCTGCAGACACTGGTCAGCACCCCTGTGCACACACCCAGACACCCCACAGCCTCAGCCTGGCCCTGGCATTGCCCTGGCATTTGCTCACTGCGTGGTGGTTGGACGGTGGCAGGCCCTTCTCCACACTGGGGGGCACGTCATACACCTCCAGCAACGGGTCTCGGCCATTGGGACCCTTGACAGCCATGGGGGGTGTGTCATACACCTGGGGCAGAAACAGTGCAGGGTTAACGGCGCCAGGGCCACTTGGGGGAATAGGAAAGGTGGGAACCCCGCAGCACCGTCCCCAGGCCTGGCCGGGGCTGAGAAGATGCAGCTCTCGGCCCAGGGCCAAGCAGAGGCACAGACTTGCCGCCCTGCCCTCCCACCGCTGCGCACCCCACACCTACCTCCTGGCCATACTGGCTGGGAAGCAGCCCCCGAACCGGGGGCACATCATAGATGTCCTGTGGCCCCGGGGCCAGCAGGTGTCGCGGGATGTCGTACTCGTCCTGCTCCGGCTGGGCGGCCTCGTATACATAGCCCTGCCCCACGCGGGTGGGCACCACCACCTGGGGGCAGAGAGCCGACTTCACTGCTGCCCTCAAACCAGCCCTTAGGGAGGCTCCACTCACACCTGGGAGCCACGTCCTTTTAGGAGGTGGGCAGGGCACACCAGGTGGAAGGGACGGGGCTCCCCAAGGATGCCAGTTCTCACCCCCTCTGCACCATCTGACCTTCCTCTAGCAGAACGCAGTGCCAGGTACGGCAAGAACTCTGGGTTTTATTCAGAGCTGCCTCGTCCTGGGCCAGGACACCAACGTCTCTACAGCCTGCTGACCCAGAAGGCTCCACAGAGGAGCATGGGTATGAGCTGATGACACCGGTGGGGTGAGGGGCTGAGGCCCTGGCTCTGGAGGGCACTACCCACAGGCAAGGAACCCCCCGTTACTGGGGCGCCTAGCCCCACAGGACAAGAGGCCACGTCGGAGGCCTGGGAGTCTGCTGCCCACACCACCTAGCTGTAGCCTCCTCAGAAGGGTTGGCCCAGCAGGGGACTGCATCCGGCCCAGGACCAGATAGAGCCTAGCACCCCCTGCCCCACAGCACAGCATGGGGAGACTCTGGAGGACAGGGCCAGAGGGGCAGGTTGGGTGTGTGCTGGGGGGCGCAGCAGCTGGGACCAAGGCCCCCTCCCTGCCGCGCCTGCCCCGGGGGAGCTGCCTGCAGCAGGTAAGATCCCCAGCGACCTGAAAGGATGAGGCCTAGTGGGGGAAGTGGGTCCAGGGCCAGCCCTCCCCTCCCCAGGTGCTCTTACCATGACCCAGAGCCCAGGGAAGCCAAGGCCCGCACAGTGGGTGAAGAGGCAGGCAGCACAATGGCCTGCCCAGGGCCACAGGACCCCTCACCAGCACCAGCCTGAAGCGGGTAGGGGCCATGCCAGGCAGCCTCCTTCCCTGAAGGTCTCCCTGCCTTGGGGAGGTCAAGGCCTCCCTGGTGGGATTCTCCAGCCCCCGGGCACACTGCGCCCACACGCCTCCACCACCAGGCTCCCTGTTCAGCTCTCTCCACTGAAAGACCTTTTGTTCCTTCATCAAAGGGGATGTCTGGGACAGGGTTGACTCAGGGCCTCCCCGCACATCCCCCAGGGCAGCAGCGCCAAAGCAGCCCCTCCCCCGGGCCCAGTGCCCCTGAACCCCTAGAGGCCCTCCCAATGCAGGCAGGCAGCCAGCCCTGCTTGCTGAGGGTGCTGTGAGGGGGGCGCTGAGCATGGGGGTGGCAGAGGCGCCAGCACCCCCCAGCAGCCGCAGGCCTGGCAGAGCCCCCCGCAGCGCAGCAGAGCTGGGCCCACTAGGTCTCCAGCACGCCTGGTAGCAGAGTCCCGGCTGGGGGCCTCCGTGGGGTGTCCCCGCCCCCTTCCAGTGCGTCTGGGAGTGGATTTGGCGGCTGCCTCTCCAGACTCATCTCCCTCCACGCGCCCCAGACTTGAGTCTCCTCCAGAACTATTTTTAGATGCAGGGACCTGCCAACAGCGGGGCAGGCGGGGCGGAGGGACGTGGCAGGTTGGCTGGGCCTCGAGGCACGGCCTGAGGCTTCTCCAGGCCTCCCAGCCTCCCAAAGGCAGGTGGGGACCCAGCCTCAAGGCTCAGCCAGGACCCAGCACCAGCAGGAGGGATGAGCATCCTCCAAAAGCACCCTGCCGGTGGCCATCCCAACCTCACGCGGTGAGGCCCAGGGGTGCAGCTGGACCCAGGCCTGCCTCCCCAGGCAAATGGCCGCCTGCCACTCTTGGAGCTGAGTCGGGTGGCAGTAGGCAGCCACAGTGACCAAATGTTTCTGTTAGAAAAACAGAGCAACGCAGCCACCAGGGGGAAAAGCTCTTTAGGGGAATGACTCAGCCCCACTGCTAATCACAGGCCACCCTGCTGCACACCTGAGACCCCACTAGCAGGCCGTGGAGGTCCCCCGGGGGTTAGGGGAACACAGCCAGAGCCCAGGAGGAGAGAACAGAGGCACAGTCACTGACATAAGACCCACACGGTCTCTGACACACATGCCTCATACAATGCAGAGAAAACACAGCACAGGCCCACTGCCAGGTGCACGCACAGAACCCAGGCAGCCCCAGGGCCAGGGTGCCGCCCCTCTCCTCCCCTACGATCAGGCATCAAGCGGGGGGACAAGCGAACTCAGGAATACATCCCAGCCTCCCGGTAAGGGCCCCAGAGGCAGGTGTCAGGTCGGAGGAAGGGGACAAAGTGGGCCCCCGCCCTGGAGCTCAGTGGCTGGTCTCCCCCTTCTGCAAAATGGGTGTCGCCCCTGACCTGGGTTGGCTCCCGGCTCTGGCACCCCCAGGTCCCAATCCAGGAGCCTCGTTTCCTCCTTGGGAAATGGAGCACCACAGGAGCGCTGCGACCACGGCCACCAGGACACACCCCAGCATGAGGGGCTCACCCGACCTGGGTCATGGTGGCCTGAGGGGCCACCACCATAGCCCGCTCCCCTCCCTCCCCAGCTCCAGGCACCCCAGCCTGAGGTCCCAGCACAGGGGAGCCTGGGGCAAGATGAAGCTTCTAGGGCGAGGAGGGTGAAACACAGGCCCGACAGGACCACGTGCACGCCTGACCTCACGCCATGGCTGTCTCCTTAGACACTGACCAGGGGCACTACCTGAGCGACCTCCCACAGACGCCTTCCCCCGGGGGTCCCATCTGACCATGAAAGAGCCTCTGCCCTCAGATTCCTACAGCCCACACCCGGCCCAAAGAGTCTCGGTGCCAGTGTGGCCCTCACCTCTCCCTCAGCCATACGGGCCACCAGGCTCCCACCTTAGCAACCACTGGACCCTGCTCCAGGGCCCAGGGTTCTGACCCTCCTGGCCACCATCCTTGTCACTCACCCTCTTGGCTTCCTGAGAGCCAGTGTCCCTCCCGCCCACGTGAAGTCCTGGCAAGGGCTCCTTCTCAGCCCAGCCAACCACTACCCTGGAACTGGGAGACTCAGTTTCCCAGGCATTTGAGGGGCAGGCCTGAGGCTTGGAGGGGAGCACCTGGAGGTTCAGACGCAGATGTCCCGCAGCCAGGTGTTACCGCCGTGCCACCGTAATGAAGACATGAGCAATCGGAAACTGCCCAGGGCCCGCCCCAGCAGAGGGGGCAACCCAGCAAAGTCCAAGGCGGCTCAGGGACAAGCTTTAAGAATTCAACAAAATGCTTTTGATATCTAATGTTGGATTTACAACTTTGAAATGCAAAACTGCATGTATAAATCTGTGAAACACAGGGCAGATACTAGACAAAATATGCCAGAATTTCCCAGTGATTACCGCGATTGGAAAATTTCATCTCCAGACTTTCCCATACATTATGCATTTTCTACAGCAAACAAGCATTGCTTTTGTGATCATAAAATACAAGCAGACACAATCAAGACTGGGGGAGGTTTCCTGGGGGAGAGCAGCCAGGCCCAGGACACAGGGCTCTCCTTCCTGGGCCATCAGCCAGGTCAGGGCCCTTGGGGCACAGGTCTGGGCAGCTCTACCAGTGGGCATGGGCAGAGAAGGACCCAGCTGGCTGAGCCCCTGATGCAATTGAGAGCAGGCCCCCTGCCGGAGACGGAGACAGAACAGCTGCCAAAACACAGCCTCGAGGCCGGGCTCTGTCTGGGGGTCTCGCTGCTGCTCCCCAGCCCACAGGGCTTCCAGCCGCACCAGGACAAGCTTCACTGCAAAGGCGGGAGAGGAGGGGTGGGGATGTGCCTGACCTTGGGGCATGTGCAGTGTGGACTGTGTGTGCGTGTGCACACGCACATACATTTGTACGTTTGTGGGATACTGGTGGGTGCACATGCTTTGTATGTGTGGACGTACACGTGTCTGTGTGTGGGGTGACTATGCACGTGTGTTTACACATATGGGGTTTGGGTGTGTGCGTGTTCATGCATATGATGTGCGCATGTGTGGGCGTATACGTGTGTCCATTTATGGGGTATGGGATGCAGATATGTGCATGTATTCACGCACATTCATGTAGCGCATGTGTGTGTTCGTGCATATGGTGTGTGCATGGGTGTTCGTATCTGTGGGGTACAGGCATCATGCACGTGTGTTCATCTGTGTGGGGTGTGGGTATACCTGGACTGTGGCCTGAGGCTCCCCTACAGGACACTGCTCCCTGCCGCCTCCCCAGGGGATAACAGGACCCTGCTCCTCTTGCTAAAGCCAGTTTGGGAGCACCCCCACCCAGGCACCCCACGCCAGCCAGGCTCGCCTCTGACCAGATGGCTGAAGGAGCAGGTAGAGCAGGAAGTGGGAGCCAGTGACCCAGGTTCCCCTGGTGGCCAGGCTTGGTGGCCCATGTCCATGGAGTCCCCCACCTGCCAACGACCTCCGGCCATGCCTCCTGGGTACCAGGCCACCCATGGGCGGGGGTGGGGGTAACTCCCAGCTGACTCGCTGCCCAGCTGGCACCAATGAGGTCTCCACCTCAGCCCTGGGCTGAGTGTCTAGTGCTGACTCCTTCCTACAGGCAGGTGAGCTTGGGAGGCAGGGGCCCTGTGGACTTGGGAAGCGGGCTCAGGGTCTGGAGGCCAGAGGTCTTGTCCCCAGGCCCAGCATCCCATCAGCAAGAGCCCAGGAGGCTCTCAGGGCAGTCCTCCTCTAGCAATCTCAGGGGCAGCGTCCTCCCAGGAGTCACATCCAGATCACCATACGCACCCGCTGGCCCCTAGCATGTTCCATAAGTGGAGAGGGGTTGGCCTGTGGAGGCAGGGGCGGCCAGAAGATGTGCCGGAACCCCATCTAGAGGCTGACACGTAAACCCAGATGGCACAGGGGAGCCTGAGCATGAAGTGGCTGGCCTCTCCCTTGCGGGGGCCCAGCTACTGCCGACCCCATGTGCCAAGCCCCGCCTGCCCACTGGAACGCCTCAACAGGCTGCTCCCTGTGGTTGGTGACACCACCACTCGGGTCGGCTTGGCTGAGGCCAGCGGAGCATCTCCCCTCTGGGTCCATTCACATCCATCTTCCCCGGACAAATGAACACCCCCCAAACACTCACTTCCCACTTTGACCCCAGACCAAACACACAGCCACTCCTGGAATGCCGGTGATTGAGGGTGGCTGGGCCCTTCTGTGCCCACAAACCAGGGCCTGGGCTATACCTGTGTGGCTGCACAACTGTGCCAGGACAGCCTTACCTTTGCCGGGGGCTTCGTGCCCTCCCAGCTGCGTGTGTCCATGGACGGGGGGACCTGGTAGATGTCATGCCCCATCCCGGCAGAAGGTGGCACCTGGTAAATATCCTGGGCAGGGCCTCCAGGCCCTGGGGGCACCTGGTACAGGTCTGTGGCCGGGCTGGGAAACGGGTGATGGGGTGTCTGCTTCGAGAAGGTGGATGTCTGCTTGGCTGGGGGAGACTGGAACTGAGGGCTGGGACCCGGGACTTGGTAGAGGCCTTGCTGAGCCTTGCTGGGAGTGGGCACCAGGTAGACGCTGTCTGGCTGGGGCTGGTAGGTGTTGGGGAGCATGGGCGTGTACTGGGAGGCCGGAGGCGCTGGGGCATGGAGGCCAGGCTGAGGCTGGGCCGGGGTGGCGGGAGGGCCGGGGCCAGGCCCTGCTGGCTTCTTATCATACATGCCCACCAAGATCTTGAGGCGGTTCCCAGGCACGATGCCCTGGCGCCCATGCAGCGAGCAGAGCCACCAGCCGTCCAGGCCCTGCGTGTCCTGCTCCAGCACCGTCATGATGTCACCCTTGCGGAAGGAGAGCTCATCCGGGGACTCGGCCACATTGTCATAGAGCGCTTTGGCCAGCACGTTCTGGGGAGAGAGGACACAGGTGTGAGAACAGAAGGATGTGCATGGGGCGTCAGGGGCTCCCCAGCTCCTGCCCTGCTCTGGGGAGGTGCCCAGCTTTGATACTAGGAAAAGAACTCAGTGGAGTTTGGCGAGATCATTGTGCCTTTGCCTCCACTGTCCCCACCTGTTCCCCAGCAGAAAGGCCCAGCTGATCCTGGCCTTTCTTTCAACTGCACCTGTATAGCACCTCAAAATCCTCTTGACCACTGTCACCACCAAAACTCCAGGGATGACCCTCAAGATATCCCTAAAAGCCCCACCCAAGGCCACTCTGCTACCTGGACCAACACAAGGAGAGCGGCAGTAATCACGACAATGCTGCCAAGTTAAAACAAATAGCAAATGGTTCTCTCTCGAGGTGCACGAAAATAATCTGACAAAAAGAACAGCTTCTTAGGATAAAAAAATGAACAACAATAAGACAGAGCTTCCTTAACAAAGTCTATCTACCCAAAATCCAAAAAGTCAGTAATTAATTTAGAAACTTCAAACACCTTCCCCAAGGCTGGGAAAGAAACAGGAGGCACACCCTCCCTGTCCTGGCCCCGTCGCCCTCAGCAAACCCTTGCAGAGCCGGGTACGTGCTCCATGTGGCCCAGGAGCCAAGCAGTCCGAGAGGGACTTGGAGGAGGCTGTGGGATCAGAGGCATGAGTGCCGTGGCGAGGGCAGGGGCGGAGCCTCGCTGGGACACTAGAGCCCAGGCAGGGAGGCCTCGCAGTTTCCCACCACACACTCATGCATCCTCGCCCCTGCCGCTGCTGCCCCATCGAGGTGCCAGGCGCAGGATGGGCCCAGAGAGACAGAGGATCCCTGGCTGGAGGGTGTGGGCGGTTGCAGCAAAAGGCAGGTGTGAGGGAGGCACGGGGTGAGACAAGGCCAGGGCTGCGGCCCCTCCTAGGGCAGCAGAGGGCTGCATGGGTTCCACAGGGGCCCCAGACTTCACACACAGGGAAGCCGGGTGTGAGAACAGTGCCAGGCTGGCTGGACAGTGACCGGCACTGGGCTCCAGCCACCCCACCAGCCTGGCCTCAGCTCTGGGCTGCCCTGCAAGGTCCCTCCTCAGAGTCTCCTGGCGTCTTAGATGTGCAGCCTGGTCGAGACTCTGACTCGGAAATGGGACCTGGGTTCTGGCCAGCCAGTAGCTGTGTGACCATCCCCACTTGGGCCCAAGTCCCACTTTCTGGACTCCATCTGCAAGGAGTGAAACAAGGAAGAAAGGGCCACGCCCCCTTGGGCAGAAACAGGAAGCAGGAGCCTGTGCCTTGGGGCAGAGGAGTGGGGGTGAGGCCTCTTTCAAGTCCCTAGGGCCCACCCTCCTCCCCTATATGAGCAGGGGCTGGACAGTGCCCCTCTGAGCGCCATCTCCCTGGCCGGCATCAGAGGGCGATGGCATACCAGGCAGCGGCCTGGGTAGGCAGTAGTTGCCCCAGGTCCCAGGATCAGACATTCAGACCCCATGGTTCACTTGCCCTGGGTGGACATCATCAGCAGGGAGCCCATTTCTCCAGAGCAGCTAGGAGCCTCCAGTCCCTAAAAGGGCCAGAGGCTGGAGTGTGGAGAGCCAGGAGGAGCAAGGCCCAAGGGAGGGGCCAGGGGGCAGCTAGGAGAGGGCAGGCCCAGGTGGAGTCATATTGGAGCCAAGGTGAGCACAAGGGCAGAGGCCCTGGATGGCTGCAACACTGTCCACACCATGATTACAACAAAATGAAAAAGGCACTCAAGTGAAAAGCACATCTCAAGAAAATGTCCTGTGAAACGTAAAGACAGGAGAGGGTCAGGAAGACACCAGAGATGTCTGAGACAATGGAGATACTTTCTCTTCCTGTTTTTCAGGAATGAGTGTTTCTTGCTTTGGGGCTGAAAAACTACACAAAAAGAAAAAAAAAGAAAACGGTGGACTATGTCCCAGGCTCTGAGGCAGGACGGGACAGGCAGTGCGGCAGGTCTAGGGGCCAGAGCCCCACAGAGGAGCGGGAGGGCGGGGGCTGTCCTGCAGCCCACCGGGCTCAGGGCCCCCATCCCAGGCGGCCAGCAAGACAAGCATTTCCCAAATATGGTCTGCAGCCTGCCTCTGGGAATCACAGCCCATCGGGGGCGGGCCACCCTTCCCCAGTGACCCTACACACCACAGAGCTGCCCCTCCGGGTCCCCCAGCCCCTGCCCTGGTGACCACAGGAAGTGCCAGCAGAGTGAGTCACAGGAAAATTCCCCTCCAGCCAAGTCAGAGAAGGTGGGGGTTTAGACAGAGGGGACCGCCCCGCGAAGGCCCCTCACCTCCTAGGAGGGTGGCCCAGGAAAGGCTGGCAGAGGCCCCATCAGGCAGGGCCAGGCACTCAGAGAGGCTGAGGGAGCACAGGCAGGGAGGCCGGGGGCTCTGTGGAGGGAAGGGCCCTGCAGGGAGGGAAAGCCCGGCCCAGGTGAGCGGCTGGGGCCTCTGGCCTCACAGCCCAGCCCTGCCAGGCATGAGCTCACTGATCGGCCGCAGCCCAGTCTGGGGCCGCTGAAGCCAGGCTGGGAAGCATCTCACAGGCTGGGCACGTGGCACCAGGCGCCTGGCACCAGGAGCTTCCCCGCCTGCGTCAGCTGGTGTGCCCCCGCCCAGCCTGAGCTCTGGACGCTGCTGGTACACAACCGACCACTCCAGCTGGCCAGGGCCCCCGCCTCTCCGGGCCTCTCTGCCTCCTGTTCTGTTCCCTAAGGACATGCACTCCTTCTTCCTCACTAGGCAGACTCAGACCTGGGCCCGGCTGTGGGACTTTGGGCAAATCCCTTAGCCTCTCTGAGCATCTAGATCCTCTCTGCTGGATGACAGCCCTCATTTCATAGGATTGTTCTTTTTTTTTTTTTTTTTTTTTTTTTTTTTTTTTTTTTTTGAGACTGGGTTCTGCTCTATTGCCCAGTAGCGCGATCATGGCTCTCACTGCAACAACCTCCCAGGCTCAAGTGATCCTCCCACCTCAGCCACCTCCCACCTTAGCCTCCCAAGTAGCTAGGACTACAGGCATACACCACCACGCCCAGCTAATTTTGTGTAGAGATGGGTTCTCCTTATGTTGCCCAGGGTGGTCTCAAACTCTTGGGCTCAAGTGATCCTCCAGCTTCGGACTCCCAAAGTGCTGGGATTACAGGCGTGAGCCACTGTGCCCAGCGCGCATTGTTCTTTTAACAAAAGATTCGCCTGGCCCCTGCTTTGGCTGGGCTCCGCAGAGATAGCGCAGGCCTAGTGGACAAGGCCTCTGTCTGAACCGGGCCTATACTGTAGTGGGACAGAAAGACACCAAACAATTTGCTTTCACGGGGAAGAAAGTGGGGTGCCAAAAATAATGTGGGAGAAGGCCTTTGCATACAGGGTCAGAGACGGCCTCCCCAAAGAGATGACATTCCACAGGATTCCTGTCTGAGAAGAGCATGGGGCAGAGGAAGGGCCTCAGCCAGGGGGCTGGAGCAGGGAGGCAGGCTGTGACCCTGGAGCGGCAAAAGGACTCACACCGCAGACTCCATGGATGATGCGTGCACAGCTCAGTGAACGTCATCCGCACAACCAGCTTCCCCACGGCCAGATAAGCCCAGACGAGCAAAGCACACACCACCCCAAGCATTCCTGCTCTGGACATGCTCGCAGGCCCCCCAGCAGCCTCCCCCGGAACCCCTGCCATGCTTCAAACTGGAGGAGAGGCCAGCCTCCCCAAGCCTACTTTCCTGGCCTCCCGCACTGCTGGGCCTAGGGCATGACCCAAGCTGGGCCAGTCAGGTGCTCCTGCCCAAGTTTTCAAGGGACACAACTGTGACCTCAGAAGGGGTGCAAAGCCAGTCCAGGTGGACACTGTCAGCCACCTGTGTCCAAGGCGCAGTGGAGGCTGCTGCCTGACTCACTCATTCTCTGGTACCCTACTCCTGCCGCACCCTACTCCCACTTCAGAACATGCTGGACTATCATCCTCTCCAGGAAGGCTCCTCCTGGGACACCTTCTCCCCTCTGCCCCCACCTCACAGTACTGCCCAGCATATCTTGACATAGCCCAATTCACACCCCTGCACCCCAGGCACCCAGGACAGGAGGACAAGTCTACCTCCTTCAGAAGGGTAACTCCAGGGCACGTGCACCAGAGGAACCCAGGAAGGCCTTTGGGGGCTTGCTCATCCCAAAGGGCAGGGCCAGAGGAGGAGAGCCCCAGCCTGATGCCAGCACTCCCTAAACAATATCCCAGCTGTTGCACATAGGACTGACAGGACTGCCCCACACGCTCTGCCTGGCTCTGAGAATGGCCCTCATTGTGTCCCCGGGGCCCGCCTGGGCACCATATCCACCCGGGCTGGGCAGGCAGGCCCTGAGAAGCACAGCGGCTGGGACCAGGGCTGCGGGTGACACACGTCAGGGAGAGCTGCAGCCGTCGGATGGGTGTTGGGGTCTCCTCATTGGCTCTGCCAGCTGCCTTGGGAGCCCTGGACGTGCTGTGGCTGTCCCCAAACTCCTTCTCTGGGTCAGGCGGAAGCTGGTGTCGGCGAGTGGTAAGGGGAGATGCTGCTGCTCCAAGGAGCCTTCCCTGGTTGCCTGAAGGGACAACCCAGGAGTTCTCAGGAGCAGGGCCAGCCCAAACCAACTGCAGAGAACACTGCAGGTATCACTGCTGACCAAAACCCTCTCTGCCAGGCCTGGCTCATATCTGGCCTGCACCCTTTCACCCAGCAAATATGACCTCAGCACCCGCAAGCCAGCACAAGGTGGGAGCTGGGAGAAAATGGCAAGAACTCCTGTTCTCTGCCCAAGACCCCAGGGTTGGGGGCAGACAAGGAAATGGGTAATAGTGCCACACTTGTCACTAAGTTCACAATAATAAGAACAGCACAGTTCCTCCCTGCGGGAGGCAGAGCTCTTTCCCACACAGCCACCAGCTCATTTAACCCTCAAAACAACCCCATAAGACACGATTACCTCCATCTTACTCGACAGGAAAACCAAGGCTCAGAAGCTCCCTGACAGCCCAGGGTCACTGAGTCCAGAAGCAGCAGAGGCCGACCCCAGGCTGAGACACGGTGGAGCTGGGTGGCTCCACTTTATCTCCACCGAGGGGTGACGCCTGGGTTCGTGGAAACCACCAGAGGAAATGTCACAGGCCTTTCCCACCCCTCCTGTCCACGCCCCCAACGCACACATGCACCCGCCCCAGCACAGAGCCTCGCACATAGCAGGCACTTGGGAAACACTGACTTCTTTCATACCCAGAACCGTCACAAACTTGGGCCAAGTTTATTTCTGGGGCATTCTA
>NW_021160020.1:0-137908 GCF_000001405.40 Homo sapiens
TTCAAGAGAGACGGTGTTTTTCTCTTCTTGGAGGGAAGGAGGAATTATTGTTAAAAATATATGCCTCCCACTACCGGAAGTCAACAACCTAAGTAAAACTTTCCTGGTTTATGCTCCGAAACTAAGTTTTAATCACCAGATCTCATACCTATTGATGCTTCTAGTCAAGCTTACTGCCATTGTGCCTCACTTGAAACACACTTGGCCAGGCGCAGTGGCTCACACCTGTTATCCCAACACTTTGAGAGGCCGAGGTGGGAGGATCACTTGAGCTCAGGAGTTTGAGTCCAGCCTGGGCAACATAATGAGATCCCTTCTCTACTAAAAATCAAAAAATTGGCCAAGGGCAGTGGCTTACGCCTGTAATCCCAGCACTTTGGGAGGCCAAAGCGGACGAATCACGAGGTCAGGAATTCAAGACCAGCCTGGCCAACGTGGTGAAACTCCGTCGCTACTAAAAATACAAAAAATTAGCTGCGCGTGGTGGCAGGTGCCTGTGATCCCAGCTACTTGGGAGGCTGAGGCAGGAGAATTGCTTGAACCTGGAAGTCGGAGGTTGCAGTAAGCCGAGATCACGCCACTGCATTCCAGCCTGGGTGACAGTGCGAGACTCTGTCTCAAAAAAAAATAAAAAATAAAAAAATTAGCTGGGCATGGTGGTGCACGCCTGTAGTCCCAACTACTGAGAGGCTGAGGCAGAAGGATCACTTGAGCCTGGGAGATCGAGGCTGCAGTGAGCTATGATCATGACACTGCACTCCAGCCTGGGAACAGAGTGAGACCCTATCTCAAAAAATAAATAAAAATAAATTTTATTTTTATTTATTTATTATTTATTTTTTTTGAGACGGCGTCTCGCTCTGTCACCCAGGCTGGAGTGCAATGGTGCAATCTCGGCTCACTGCAACCTCCGCCTCCCGGGTTCAAGCGATTCTCCTGCCTCAGCCTCCCGAGTTGCTGGGATTACAGGCGTGCGCCACCACGCCTGGCTAGTTTTTTCTATTTTTAGTAGAGATGGGGTTTCACCATGTTTGTTAGGCTGGTCTCGAACTTCTGACCTCGTGATCCGCCTGCCTCGGCCTCCCAAAGTGCTGGGATTACAAGCATAATCCACCGTGCCCAGCCAAAAATAAATTTTAAAAATGAAAAAAATGATATAAGAAATCCGACTTATGAAATGGACATATATGGTATCTCATTTGAAACACAAAAATAACTTGCATTTCGACTTACAGCAAACTAGGGATAATCTAGGGAATCCCAGCTCTCAAGGACCAAAGCCCAGGTCTCCTGCAAAAATACCTTCTCAGAACCATGTTCTGGTCCTGCCAGACTCACCACCTTCCCCCGTACCTGGATGGCTCCTGTAAGCCCCTGGGGAGTTATCCAGGATCACAATGCTGGAGAGGTCACTGTGGACCACAGAGAGGTCCTTGATGTAGCTGCCCAACTCCAAAGTGCAGTGCTGGAAGGCAGGGGATCATGTAGCAGGCCTCTCTCCAGGATACTCTCCTCAAACCCAGATCCCTCCCTGGTGGCCTCCCTCCCAAGCCACACTCTTAGACTGGGATTCTAGCTTACCTGTCTGTAATATCTCCTCTTAAGAATGCTTCTGCTATTGTCCAGTTTATCTGCCACAGCAGAGCCATAGATCTCCATGCTTGCTGTAAACACCACCAGCTCGTACCACTGGCTCACCTGAAATAGATTGGGGGAGAGGGCGATGCCATACAAGGTGATGATTCCTTTAGACATACAGTTATCTTTCAGAAAGGCAATGGCATAGTCCTTCAGGCCTTCCATCAACATCAAATGTCTCTGAGGACACGAAATTCTGAACCCCCAGCCCAAACCTCCAAACTCAGTGTTAGGCATCCTACACTCTTATGATTCAGAAATGCAAGAACAAAAGAGAAAGATGCCAGCGGAAAAGAATTACATCAGCACAACAAATGAACCCCAAGTACTGAAAGCCACTCCCCTACCATTACACAGCCTCCCCTCTAGAAAACTGCTCTAACCCGTTTCTCCTCACCCCTTCCTCCAAATCCTCCCAATTCCCAGAGCCCTAAAACCATTCCTTCATTACAGAGCTCCCTTTAGCTCTCCAAAACTCACCACTTCCAGGAAGAAATCCACATGGGGCCTCTTATGTACAAAAAACCGGACAGGATGTTTGTCTATTACCACCTACAGAGGAACAAGATGGGCTGGGGGATGTCATGACCACCACAACCCAGGCCTAGAAAACGCCCCACCCATCTGCTTCCCTCCTCCAGGCTGACACTGGTGCCAGCGGATGGAGACAGATGCTCTGGGACTGGGAAAGGGAGTCCAGGTTTGGGCAGAGGAACAGATGGAACCATTTCATCACTCCCCACCACCACACACCTTGAGGATGAAGTCAGGAGGCGTACCAGGCCGGACTGTGGGCCTCAGGACCCCATCATGGTGGGAGTGAATAAGTGTCTCATCCAGATCCAGCACCAGGATCTTCCTCTTCACCTGGGCTGAACCAGAGTGGGGAGGAATAATATTGACCGACCTCTGACCCAGAGCTAGCCCCTACTTCACCCTAAAGGAGGCTTCCCACCACATACTTACCTAGCCGATTCCGGGACACAGGAGATAAGGGGAGGATATCATATCGAACAGTTTGGTACTGAATTACCTACAAATAGCACAAAAGAGGATTGAAACCCTTGATAAGGAAGCCTTCCCCAGTAACAGTAACAGGGAGCACATAATGAACATTTACCACAGGTACTATGTATGTAATTTAGGCTTATTTCTTCTTCTTTTTTTTTTTTTTTTGAGATGGAGTCTCGCTCTGTTGCCCAGGCTGGAGTGCAGCGGCATGATCTCGGCTCACTGCAACCTCCGCCTCCCAGGTTCAAGCAATTCTCCTGCCTCAGCCTCCCTAATAGCTGGGACTACAGGCGTGCACCACCACGCTCGGCTCATTTTTGTATTTCTAGTAGAGGCGGGGTTTAACTATATTGGCCTGGCTGGTCTCAAACTCCTGACCTTGTGATCCTCCTGCCTTTGCCTCCCAAAGTGCTGGGATTACAGGAATGAGCCACTACGCTGGCCTTTTTCATTTAATCCTCAAAACAACCATAATATTACTGTTATACCTGTTTTAAGGTTAAAGAAACTGAGGCCACACAGCTAGGAATTATCTTAAGTTGTTTCTCTCCCTAATTAAAATGAAAACTCCATGAGAATATGATTTTGTCTAGATCATGGCTGTATTCCCAGTGCCTAGAACACAGTAGCAAAAGTGGTCAGTTGATATTAGTAGAATCAGCCAGGCGCAGTGGCTCATGCCTGTAATCCCAGCACTTTGGGAGGCCAAGGCAGGCGGATCACAAGGTCAAGAGACGGAGACCATCCTGGCCAACATGGTGAAACCCCGTCTCTACTAAAAATATAAAAATTAGCTGGGCGTGGTGGTGCGTGCCCATAGCCCCAGCTACTCGGGAGGCTGAGGCAGCAGAGTGGCTTGAACCCAGGAGGCAGAGGTTGCAGTGAGCCGAGATCGCACCACTGTACTCCAGCCTGGTGACAGAGCAAGACTCCGTCGCAAAAAAAAAAAAAAAAAAAAAAAAAAAAGTAGAATCAATGAAGTGATAGAGCCAGGATTGTACCAATGCAGTTCAACCCAAGAACGTGCCCTCTTTTTTTTTCTTTTTTTTTTTTTTGAGAAGGGAGTCTCACTCCATTGCCCAGGCTGGAGTGCAGTGGCGCGATCTCAGCTCACTGCAACCTCCACCTCCCAGGTTCAAGCAATTCTCCTGCCTCAGCCTCCTAAGCAGCTGGGACTATAGGCGCGCGAACCACGCCCAGCTAATTTTTGTATTTTTAGTAGAGACGGGGTTTCACCATATTGGCCAGGCTGGTCTTGAGCTCCTGACCTCATGATCCACCTGCCTCAGCTTCCCAAAGTGCTGGGATTACAGGCAAGAGCCACCACCCCCGGCCGAAGCTGCCCTCTTAACTGTGATATTATCCTGCTACACTGAACAAAGAAACGACCCCCACAACGCAACCTTCACCCCAAGAATTATTTGTAGCAACTACCATCATTGGGAACTAAGTGCCTCAGATTCCCTAGTGCACATGGAGTAGGAGTCGGGAGGAGATCCCTGGGTCCTTAATGGGAATATAGAATGAGGGAATCCAGAGGTTGTCAGGTCAGCTAAGTTCCTCTGGCTAGAAGCCACCAGGCCTATTTTAACCAGCCACCTGTCCACTTCTGTCCCTTCTAGCCAAGTCACAAGTTCAGAGAACCTCAGCCCTCTGAACAGTCTCCTTATCCTGGTACCCAGGGTGAGGCAAAGAACACTGGAAAGCCCCTGCCAGGCTGACTGGCAGGGTCTGGAGGAGGCCAGAGTGAAGTCAGGGCCGTTAAGTGAGAGGTGAATAAGGGACAAGGACGTCACCACCTCATCCAGCTCTGCTTCTCCAAGCATTCTCTAGGGGCTATTTCCTAATACGCACATCTCCCCATACAAAGCCTGGCAATTCCCTCTTCCACACTTTTCTTCAAAGGTACAAACCCTCTTCAGTGCATACCTAGGCCCCAAGCCACACCAGAACCAGGTTCTCCCTTCTAAACCCACAGGGCTCTCTCCCCCTAATCAAGATCTGCCCTTCTTTTCTCCCTGGGCCATGATGAGGTCCGAAAGAGCTCCAGTGTCCAGCCTTGCTATCTCGGGTTGCATATGCTGGGCATGTAGGGAATGCTCCAAGCATCTGCCAGAAGCGGGGTGGGGAAAGAAACCAGATTGGAAGGGAAGGGAGGACAAAAGGCTATGGGGTCAGTGCTGCCCAAAGGAGAGCAATTTTGGAAGTAACCTGTGGATGAGCTGAAGCACCACTCCGTATGCCCAGAAAACTGATGTGTTGGAGCGAGAACGTCAGAGAAGATGGCAGTCAACCCATAAAGAAAACCGCTGGAGGCCGGGTGCAGTGGCTCAATCCCAGTACTTTTGTGAGGCCAAGGCGGGCAGATCACTTGAGGTCAGGAGTTTGAGACCATCCTGGCCAACATGGTGAAAACCCGTTTCTACTAAAATTACAAAAATTAGCCAGGTGTGGTGGCAGGTGCCTGTAATCCCAGCTATTCGAGAGGCTGAAGCAGGAGAATCGCTTGAACCCAGGAAGTGGAGGTTGCAGTGAGCGGAGATGGCACCACTGCACTCCAGCCTGGGCGACAAAGCGAGACTGTCTCAGAAAAGAAAAGAAAACCCCAGGAGATAGCCCCACACATATCCCAGCATCTCTGACCCTAAATTTTTCTTGGCTCCTAGCTCTTGTCTCGGGGGAATAGCGCTGCTGCCTACAGCCACAACCATCCTGTACTGTTCGCGCCCTAAATCAGGAAGTGGAAGCAGACTGGTAAAGGACAGAATGAACCCAAGGCCAGACCCATTCTCCCAAATCAGTTAAATCAACCACCACTACCACTGAGGGCTTTCTGGAAATTCTCTGGACCCCAGGTCACCCCAACCTGGGTTTATTCTTTCAAATTGTATTGAGGTATGCTAAGGGGTACAGACCACAGTACAGACCCAGAACCTGTGTCTCCGCTTACTAAATTCTCCCCAGACTCCTTCCGAGGATTCTCCCTGGTGGTGGTGAGACCACAAGAGCACATTCATTTAAAGTGCTGTTAGCTGAAGGACCTCTGACCTTGGAGAAAAGCTAAGGGAGAGGGGACCCAGAGATGCTTGGGTCCATCCGGACAGTTTCCCTCAGAATGCTAGGCTCTCCTGGAGAAGCAAACGTCCTCATTTTCAAGCCCTACAACTGCCCAGCGCTGTCCTCTGACAGGGACACCCAAACTTCAATGGTGGGCACAGCACCCACCTTGAACTCCCTCCCACAATTAAAGAGGCCCATCGTAAAAGCATCTGCTTTAGTCTTCAATAAATCCAGATACCTACACTCACACTATGAAATAAATTTTCACAGCCTTTTTGGAGGAATTCTCTTAATGGGAACCGCAGGCGTTTCTCCTTCACACCCAGGGCTTTCCCAAGTTCCCGTCCTTGTTTGTAACGTATGCCCTCCCACCCACCTCCACCCTTGACACACAAGTCTGTCTCTTCCTTGTTATAGGACCAAACACACACCGAGGTTCCAAATAGGGTCTTTCCCAAGCCCACATCCACAGATCCGGCTGTCATCAAACAGGTGTTCCCCGCCTCTTGGTTTCTTTAGCAACAACTCCAGCTTTCTTAAAGAGCGCCCCACCCACCACCTTAGCCCCCAAGAGTTGCCAAATCCTGTCCCATCTAGCCCCATCAAAACCCCCAAGGGCAAGGTTCTATTACAAGGGTCTCCCACCTCGCCCCGCTTAGGGTGCCCAATTCTCTGGCGAGAAAAGCCCCAGCCAGGATTCCCTTCCTAGGCCCAAACAGAGGCCCGACACTCCGAAAACCCCTGAGCACCACGGACAGATGTCCCCAACACCGCCAGACGTCCCCAACACCGCCAGCGCCCACCCTGGCTCACCGTGCGGATCTGCCTCCGCAGAAGGTAAATGAAGAAGCTCCAGAGCTTGGCGGCGAAGGCCACGAACGTGCGCAGCCCCAGCAGACACTGCGTCCGCATCATCCCGATGACCCCGGCACCGCCGGCCCCGGGGCCCCCGCGGCCCAGCTCCGCCAGCCCCCCGGGGGCAGCCCCCCGCCGCCGGGAGGGGGAACGGGGGCCCCGAGTGGCAGGAGAGGCTGCAGAGAGGGGCACGGAGCGGGCGGCTCAGAAAGCCACCCCTGGCGAGGGTAAAGCCCAGCGGAACGGGGAGCTGGGGGACAGGCGTGGGCAGCCCGCGGGGGCCCACATGGGCTGGGAGTGGCACCGACGGCTTCGGGGAGGTTGCGGGCCGAGACAGGTAGGGCTAGGATGGGGTCCTCCGAGACCTGGAGGGAAGGGGAAGGATAATTGGGGGAGGGGGCAGTGGGGGAGGGGGCTAGGGAAAAGGGAGGAAGGGAAAAGGGAAGGGGAGGGGGGGAAAGCAGAGAGTGGCCCGCTGCGCAGGCGCGCTAGGGGGCTGCTCGCAGGAACGGGGAGGGCGGGGGCAGCGGCGCGCAAAGGGCCGCGGCAGCGGAGAACGGGCCTGCAGAGCGAAGGAGCAGGGAAGGAGGGGGAGGGGGAGCCGGAGGGCGCAGAGCGCTGGGCCGGAGCGGCCTCCCCCTCCCCGAGCTCGGGGGTCCTTTAGCCGCTGGGGACCGGGGCTGCAGCCTCTGCAGCTGGGTTTCCCACTCTGACAGGCGCCATTTTACCGTCCAAAGGACTCCCTCTTCCTGTCTTTCCCCCTCCTCTTCCCCTTTGACACTACTTCCGGTGGTGACGTGTATTCGCTTCACCGGGACTAAGTTCCTCCTGCGCGGTCTATGGCGGGTAGGTATAAGGAAAGCCAAAAGCACTCCAAGCGAGGCTGCAGTATTGCGCACGCGCAGAAGGTGGCCGCGGGGCGGGGCCTGAGGCGAAGCAGGCCCCGCCTCAAACTGCGTGGGCGGGGAGAGTGACGTCACTTGGCCCGCGCTTAGGGCCCTCGCGGGGGGCTTGTGGGTCCTCCTCCCCCTCCCACTGACAACTGCCCCAACTGCTCTTCCCGCCCCGGTCACAGTGAAAATGTAGACGGGGTCGTTGTCCGTACGACTGTGCGCCAGGGCTCGGGGAGGGGCGCCCTCCGCGTGAGCGCCCCCCTGGGAATATTGAACATAATCACCTCTCATTCCAGACTATGTTAGGTCTTAATGGTGGGAGGACGCCCGAGTGCTCGGCCCGTTTCACCCCGAGGAGGAAGGACACTGGGTCATGACGCCATCAGAGGGCGCCAGAGCAGGGACCGGACGCGAGTTGGAGATGTTGGACTCGCTGTTGGCCTTGGGCGGCCTGGTGCTGCTTCGGGGTGAGAGCCAGAGGCACGGTGGCGGGGCGGGGGGTGCGGTTCGGGCCTGGCTGAGGGGACGGAAGTGGGCAGGAAGGGCCAGGGGTCACAGGCTAGGTGTGGAAATCGCGACGGGTTCGCGAAGGCGGTAATCCCAGCGCTCTCATACCCTTTATCCGTCCCTCGCTCTGCAGATTCCGTGGAGTGGGAGGGGCGCAGTCTCTTGAAGGCGCTTGTCAAGAAATCTGCACTGTGGTGAGTATCCCACAGTGTCTCCCCGGCCTACCCTGGATAGGGCACCTGTGCCCACTCTTTGACAATCCCTTCTCATCTCTGCCTTAGTGGGGAGCAAGTGCATATCCTGGGCTGTGAAGTGAGCGAGGAAGAGTTTCGTGAAGGTTTTGACTCTGATATCAACAATCGGTAAGTACCAGTTGGAAGAGATTTGATTAAATTTGAGACCTATAATGCTAAGGAAATTTCTTTACAACAAGCGCAGAACCTGGTATGTAGTAGCAGTTCCTTAAATATTCATTGAAGAATTGGATATGGATCTTTCAGGAGGCAAGAATTAATAAGAGGAGTGATGAGTATTTGGGGAGTCCAAAGCAAAGATCATAGAAGTCGAGAGAGAAATAGCCTGGAAATAGGGAGAACATGTGGGAAGGGTATTGCAGTAATCCGTTAATCCGGCTTCACTCTTTAAGGTACATATGTACCGAGCACCAACTATCAACCAGGTGCTGTGCAAGATACTGGAGACGGCAGTGAGTGAGACCTGTTCCTGACCTAATGAATTTTAGGGAATAATGGTAGGAAGTGATAGAGGCCTGGTTTAAGGCAGTGGCAGTAGAGATGGAAAGTTTAGAACACATGTAAAGGACTTTAGTGGGTAGAATTTCCAGGATTTATTGACTAATATGGGGGAGAAGAAAGTATTGAGATAAGGAAGTTCCTAAACCCAGCGGCATGCCTGATCAGGAGACATTAAGAACCATTAGTAGGATGCTTTCTACTTCCTAGTCCCGGCAACTCAGTGGATGATAATAGTAGTTTACATCTTATCTGTTGAGCCTCCAATTTTGCATCAGCCATTGTTGTGATAGAGGCGGTGGTGTATGTTCAGATGGCATTCCATGGCTGGGCGCGGTGGCTCACGCCTGTAATCCCAGCACTTTGGGAGGCTGAGGCGGGTGGATCACCTGAGGTCTGGAGTTCGAGACCAGCCTGACCAACATGGAGAAACCCCATCTCTACTAAAAATACAAAAAATTACCTGGGCATGGTGGCACATGCCTGTAATTCCAGCTACTCAGGAGGCTGAGGCAGGAGAATCGCTTGAACCCAGGAGGCAGAGGTTGCAGTGAGCGGAGATCACGCCATTGCACTCCAGCCTGGGCAACGAGCGAAACTCTGTCTCAAAAAAAAAAAAAAAAGCGGGCACTCCACAAGAGAAGATAGAAAAGAGATATCTGGGAAAAAAAGTTCTGCTACCTATGCCAGTCTCCCTTTCCTGAGCTGTTTTTTCTGTAGTTGTTACTTCTTGACTTAATTCTTGACTTTCTTTAAGCTGTTCTACAGGCAGGACCAAATCTCACGTCCTCTGCTTTCTCTTTTTTCACCCAGGGTGATAATCTTTAGGTGCCACACACAGGAAATATTTGATAATGGTGATAACTAACATTTATCAGGCATATACTATGTGTCAAGCACTGTGCTGAATGCTTAGAGGTTGGCATCTCATTTCACCAATGAGGCAACTCTTAGAAATAATGTATCAGTTAGCTGACCTTGGGCAAGTAGCAAAGCCAAGCTTGGAGATCAGGCTGTCAGACACCAAAGTCTGTGCTCTCAATCACTGTATGCTCTCTCTCAGTAATTATCTTTCACTAATATTTAGGATATTCATAAAAATTGAGAAAACAGCCATAAAGATCAGAGGATGAACTTTGTGATCCTCTCGGGGGAAGGGGCAATATTATATTGTGTCTTATTTTCCCTTTGCAGGCTGGTTTACCATGACTTCTTCAGAGACCCTCTCAACTGGTCAAAAACTGAGGAGGCCTTTCCTGGGGGGCCGCTGGGAGCCTTGAGAGCCATGTGCAAGAGGACAGATCCTGTTCCTGTCACCATTGCTCTCGATTCACTCAGCTGGCTGCTACTTCGCCTTCCCTGCACCACACTCTGCCAGGTCCTGCATGCTGTGAGCCATCAGGACTCTTGTCCTGGTGAGACCCCTCCTTCATTGTTTCCCCTCATACATCTCCCTCTGCCAAGGAGTGTGCCCCTTTTCCTTTCTACCCTAGAATAAACATCTGGGTTCTCCAGTCAGACCTTTTTTCATTTTTTTGACTTTTTTGTCTGTTTTTTTTTTTTTTTACTTCTCCTTAATGCCATCTACCATTTGCTTTTTTTTCTCCAAGTTATTTTTTTACTCATTTGTTTCACTCATTCATTCATTTAACAAATCAATAGTAAATATATACAATGTGTCAGGTACAATTCTAGATAATGGCAAAATACAGACTGACTGTAGCTGGGTCCTTGCCTTCCAGGAGCTCGAAGTCCCATAAAAGATGGAGATAAGTAAACAGGCAGTTACAAGATGGTCTGATAAAGGCCATGATGATACAGGCATGCACAGGGCACCTTAAAGAAGGGCACTCTTGGCCGGGCGCGGTGGCTCACTCCTGTAATCCTAGCACTTTGGGAGGCCGAGGTGGGTAGATCACAAGGTCAGGAGATCGAGACCATCCTGGCTAACATGGTGAAACCCCGTCTCTACTAAAAATACAAAAAAAAATTAGCCGGGCTTGGTGGCGGGCACCTCTAGTCCCAGCTACCCGGGAGGCTGAGGCAGGAGAATGGCGTGAACCCGGGAGGTGGAGCTTGCAGTGAGCTGAGATGGGCCACTGCACTCCAGCCTGGGCGACAGAGCAAGACTCCATCTCAAAAAAAAAAAAAGGCACTCTCTTGAAGAGCAAGAGGTCATCCAGGCAAATTTGGCCGGGCAGGGGCACTGAGACTAGCCTTGAAGTGCACTGTGGGTACTCGAATGGACTTAGGAGTCAGACGCCCAGCTTTGTATTAAGGTGCTTGATCTCTCATTGCTTCACTTTCCCCTGTATATGGGGGAAGGTACAAGGGAAGTATTAGGATGAACCACTATATTGCCATTTCTTAGGTTAAAAGTTGTTAAATATTGTCTGGGCGCAGTGGCTCATGCCTGTAATCCCAGCACTTGGGGAGGCCAAGGCGGGCGGATCACCTGGAGTTGGAGACCAGCCTGGCCAACATGGTGAAACCCTGTCTCTACTAAAAATACAAAAAATTAGCTGGGTGTGGTGGTGCACGCCTGTAATCCCAGCTACTCGGGAGGCTGAGGCAGGAGAATCACTTGAACCCAGGAGGCAGAGGTTGCAGTGAGCTGAGATCACGCCACCGTACTGCAGCCTGGGTGACAGAGAAAGACGTCATCTCAAAAAAATAAAAACAGTCCGGGCGCAGAGGCTCATGCCTGTAATCCCAGCATTTTGGGAGGCCAAGACAGGTAGATCACGAGGTCAGGAGTTCAAGACCAGCCTGGCCAAGATGCTGAAACCCCGTCTCTACCAAATACAAAAATTAGCCAGGCGTGGTGGCACGCGCCTGTAGTCCCAGCTACTCAGGAGACTGAGGCAGTATTGTTGAGCCCGTAGCAGGGGTTGCAGTAAGCCAAGATTGCGCCACTGCACTCTAGCCTGGGCGACAGAGCAAGACTCCATCTCGAAAAAGAAAAGAAAAAAAAATTGTTAAATGTCAGTGATTTCATACAGTTTGACCTAAAAACGCTGACCTTTGTAAGGATTCAAACATTGTGTTAAAGCGTTTAGCATAGTACCTGACACTCTCTAAATGCTCCCAAAAAGGGAGGCAGAGAATTGAAGGCACTGACTGAGATCTTGGGAAGTTCCAGAAACTACAAGTACTTCCGTGTGTAAGAGATGAGGCTGGAAAGTAAGTGGACACCACCTGCTGGAAGCGTTCGTTCCATCCTGAAGGCAGGAGCTGCTGAAGAATAGAAGTTAGAGCGGTGCCTTGATCAGCTTTACATTGGGATGATAGAGGAGATTAAGGTGTGGGCTGGAGGAGGCTCAGAGCACGGTAGTGAGATTGGCCAAGGGACGTCAGGATTTTGGCAGCACTGTGATGGAATTGTGAGGCTCTCTCTTCTTCACTGTTAGCTCCCAGGCCACCAACCTGAATGCTCCCTACTATCCTACATTTCTTGTCCTCCTCTAGGTGACAGCTCCTCAGTGGGGAAAGTGAGTGTGCTGGGCTTGCTACATGAAGAGCTTCATGGACCAGGCCCTGTGGGAGCTCTCAGCAGCCTTGCTCAGACTGAGGTGACCCTGGGCGGTACCATGGGCCAGGCCTCGGCCCACATCCTGTGTCGGAGGCCCCGACAGCGCCCAACTGACCAGGTCAGAAGAACCAACAGAGAAGGACTGGAAACGGGGGACAGAGAAAGGGGTGGCACGATGGGAAGAACAATGAAAATGCTGATGTTTCAAGGAGACTTTAAAAACAAACTTTTTTAGAGATGGGGTTTCACTGTGTTGGTCAGGGTGGTCTCAAACTTCTGGGCTCAAGTGATCCTTCCACCTCAGCCTCCCAAAGTGCTAGGATTACAGACGTGAGCCACTGTGCCCAGCCCTCAGTGAGACCTTTTTTTAAAAAAAGCTGATTTAGGTATTTCTCTGTTTTCTATCACTCACTTCATTTAATCCTCTCAGCTATGGTTAAGGTAGATTGTTTTATTATCACCATTTTTCAGGCTGGAAAGCCAGTCCAGGGAGGGTTTTATTCCCTTGGAGTTTTTTTTTTTTTTTTTATTGGACAAGGTCTCACTGTTGCCCAGGCTGGAGTGCTGTGGTGCAATCATAACTTACGGCAGCTTTGACCTCCCATGTTCAAGTGATCCTCCTGCCTCAGCCTCTGGTGTAGCTGGAGGTGGGAGCACAGGCATGTAGCACCACATCCAGCCAGCTTTTTAGTTTTTTATACAGATGAGATCTCACCCTGTTGCCCAGGCTGGTCTTGAATAACTAGGCTCAAGCCATCCTCTGGCCTTGGTCTCCCAAAGTGCTGGGATTACAGGTGTGATCCACTGCACCCGGCCCAAGGAGGTTTAAATTTAAGTCACTTACCAAGGTTATAAAGTGTAAGTGGGGCCCAGGCGAGGTGGCTCAGGCCCATAATCCCAGCACTTTGGGGGGCCGAGGTGGGCAGATTGTGAGGTCAGGAGTTCGAGACCGGCCTGGCTAACATGGTGAAATCTCATCTCTACTAAAAATACAAAAATTAGCTGGGCATAGTGGTGGGTGCCTGTAGTCCCAGCTATTCGGGAGGCTGAGGTGGGAGAATCACTTGAACCTGGGAGGCGGAGGTTGAGGTGAGCCGAGATCATGCCACTACACTCCAGCCTGGGCAACAGAGTGAGACTCCGTCTCAAAAAAGGAGTAAGTGGGCTGCTCTGCCTAAGGAGTCGCCATCCTTTTATTCCTTTACTTCCTTAATCAACTTGCTTTCACTTTTGAAAATAAAATAGAGGCTGGGCGCAGTGGCTTACACCTGTAATCCCAGCATTTTGGGAGGCCGAAGTGGGCAGATCACCTGAGGTTAGTGGTTTGAGACCAGCCTGGCCAATATAGCAAAACCCCATCTCTACTAAAAAGACAAAAATTAGCTGGGTGTGGTAGCACGTGCCTGTAATCCCAGCTACTCGGGAGGCTGAGGCAGGAGAATCACTTGAACCTGGGAGGCGGAGGTTGCAGTGAGCTAAGATCACGCCACTGTACTCCAGCCTGGGCAACAAAGCCAGACCCTGTCTCAAAAAAAAAAAAAAAAGTTGAGGGCAGGAGCTGAAAGCAGTCAGTTAAATAGGTGATTGGGGGCTGAGGATGTGAGGTCCTGGAGTCTGTCTAGTTTCTTCAGTAAGATGAAAAAAACTCTTTTCTTTTTTCTCTCCAGACTCAGTGGTTCTCCATCCTTCCGGACTTCAGCCTGGATCTCCAAGAGGGGCCCTCTGTAGAGTCCCAGCCCTACTCCGATCCTCATATACCCCCGGTATCTAAGAATGCCAAGGCCAGAACAAGGAAATGTAGTTTAGTATCTGGTCACGGGAGAGAAAATAAAAGCTGCAGAGGTTGGGGGTGGGGTCAGGGATTCTAGGGATGGGGCAGAGTGGCAGCATCCTTTGTACCTACAGGTGGATCCCACAACTCATTTGACCTTTAACCTTCACCTGTCCAAGAAAGAGAGAGAAGCCAGAGATAGCCTGATCCTGCCCTTCCAGTTCAGTTCTGAAAAGTAAGGTTGGGACCTGGGTACGTGGATCCCTGAGTAGATCCCAGCATCTGGGCCATGGAGAGGTTGGGGCAACAGGTTATTGATTAACCTGACTTTATAGGGACTGAAGTCCACCTCCAGAGACAAGTCCAAGTTCTTGATCCACCCATTCCCCCTATAATGGCAGAGGACCTTTATGTCTCTTTTCTCTCCCTTATACCCTTGGGTCACAGCTCCAGTTGTCCCCAGAGCACCCTGGGCCTGGGCTGAGCCAGACCAGACCCTTGGGAGGTGGCCCTATCCCTAGGCAGTGGTGCTAGGAGGACAGAAGGCTATATGGGCGTGGCAGAGGCTGGTTAACAAGGGCTTAGTACACGCTTGCTGTTCTGTGCCCAGTATGTGGGCGGATGACGCAAGACTACAAGATCCTTGCCCTCAAGCTGCTAGGAACTTACGGTTTTATTAGGAGAGCAGTACAAGGGTATCTATCCCAGTACCAAATGGTGCTTCAGCTCTAACATGGAGGTCAGAGAAAGGGACTTGGACCAATAAAATGACATGGAGGCCTAACAGGTTGCCTGAATGAGAGTCACAGTCACCTGGAAGAAAGTATCCAGACCCAACCTGTTAGCTACCCTCACCAGCACCAAATCTTCCCTTCTCAGACAGCAGGCTCTCCTGCGGCCTAGGCCAGGGCAGGCTACCAGCCACATCTTCTATGAGCCAGATGCTTATGATGACCTGGACCAAGAAGACCCAGATGACGACCTGGATATTTGACTGGCCAGATTTGATTAGATTGTAATTGGAGGGGGCGCGGGAAGACTTTGGGCCCAGAACCATCTTTCTATTGTTTGTGTTAGCCTTACCCTGTCCCTGCCCCACCTTGGTTCCCCTTGTCTATGGAGCCCCGCCTTGTGAGCCAGGAAGCAGCGTCTCATCAGGACAGAAGGTAGGATGAAGACATGGGGTAATGTGAGAGAGTAGAACACCCCCGTACCTAATAAAAATCTTTATTTTTTTATTAAAAAAGAAGTACTTTGGTAGCTATTTAAATAAGAGGGGGGTGGGAATGAATGTCGAGATACGAGCACCTGCATCTTTTAGTCAATTGTCAGTGGAGTCAGTGGGGTGCTAAGTGTTCTGAACTGAAGTAGGTGCACTAAGGTTCCAAGCTCCCTGCAAGGATCTGGACGGGAGGAAAGCAGAGGCCCTGAAGGGAAAAAAGCCTGCTTCCCAATACTTATTTTTTATTACTGTACAAAAAGCACACTCTCCCTCTTTTTGTCTCTCCCACCAACGGCACCCCCCCACCCCCAACCCAAGAGGACTATACATGGAGTGCAGGGACAGAGTGACCAGGAGGCCTTTGTCCGGCACCCTGCCCACAGGCTGAGCTCAGCCCCAGGCCCTTTCAGGCATCTAGACACTCCCATAGCCTGTCAGGCTGGGGCAAGGAGATCCCAGGTCACACATACTCCTTGGAAGAGTTGGACTTAGGGTAAGAGCGGGGTACACGGTACCCAGCCTTGCTCTCATTCCCAGGACAGGAACAGGAGAGCAGTGCACCTCCCAGGATGACTAGGGCAGACCCTGCCCAGCCAATAAAGATGGCAGGGCCAAACTCATACCTGTGAAGAGAAGGGGGTGGTTAGAAACCCTGGCGTGCCTCTGCCCTCCTCCCTATTCCAGGACCCCAGACCTGTCCCCTTAGGAGGCAGGGTTCCCAGACTTACTTAATGTTGGTAGGGATCAAAGGGTTATAAAAGTCTGTGACAATCTGATGGCCATACCAGGAGCAAGCTACCAAGGCGGCAAGACCTGGAGACAGAATGAGGGTTTCAGTATAGTGAGGCCCCAAATGGGCGCCTTGCCCAGCCTTGCTCCTCCCAGATGGGAGAACCCGGGGGCTCACCTGCCACGATGAAAATTATGCCTCCACCCATGGCTATACGGGCCTTCTTCACTTTGTCGTCTCCCCCACAGCGCGTGCACTTCATGCCCATCGTGGCCACAAACATGGCCAGGAAGCCCAGCACCAGGGAGACCACCATTAGGGCTCGAGTGGCCTGCAAGGCCGCTGCGGGCGAGGGGAAAGGGCGCCGTCATTGCTGGAAATGCAGGCGGCTCCAGCCTTCGTGCCGCCGGCCGCGCCCACTAACCGCTGGACCTCTTCTGTCCGGCGCCGTGTTCTGCCGAGGGCCAGGGGCGCCCAGGTGTCCAAGACCTGGGCCAAGCGGGCAGGTCCCCGCCCCTCCCGACAGCGCGGCCTTCCTGCTCCCGCCCCGCCCTCTCCGCTCAAGGATCCGCCCGGGGCGCCGGGGTTTCGGTGAAACTGCCCTGGATAGGGGGAAGGGTGAAAGGGTGCAGCGAAGAGAAGCCGAGACGGTGGTCCGAAGCCCCGCGCGGCGCACATGCCAGCCGGCGTCCCTGCTCTGAGCCCGCTATCGAGGCCACCGGGTTTGTGGCTTCGGCTAATCGGCCGATAAGATTAGAGGCAGCAGGCGGCGGCCCACTCTGACCAGCCGCACCGCCCTTCGGCCCTCGGCGCGCCCCGTGCCCCGCGCCCCGGGGCCGTTTCTGTCTGAGAAAAGGACGGGAGATGACGGAGGCCATGGCCTGCCCGGGAATGGAGGAGGGGATGGCCCCGGCCTAAGCACCGCTGCTCCGAGCCGGGGACGAGGCTGGGTTGGGGGAGGAAGAGGAACGTGGGCGACCGAGGTGCGCGCCCACGTGCAGCCGCCGGAACCCCGGCCCGCTCCCGCCCAGCCCCGCCGCCCCCAGCCGACCACTTCCTCGCCCTGCAGCTCCCCGGCAACCCAGGGCCCCCAGCCGTGGGGCCTCGGCTCTCCCACGCGCGCCACCCCGCCACCTCGGTCAAGGGCGCGTCCGCCCCGTCGGTCCCGCGGCCTTACCGGACAGGGCGAGCACCGAGTCGTACATTTTGCAGCTCATCATCCCCGTGCTCTGCGTGACGCAGTCCATCCACAGCCCCTTGTACATGGCCTGGGCCGTGATGATGTTGTCACCCGCATAGGAGCTCATCTGCCACTGCGGGATGGCGGTGCAGGCCACCAGACCCACCCAGCCCAGCAGGGCCATGGAGAAGCCCAGCAACTGCAGGCCCGAATTGGCCATTTCCGCCCTCAGAAAACACTGGGGGCGCCGGGCGGGGAGACCCTACAGTAAAACAAACGACACTTGGGGGGCAGCCCCACAAAAGAAAACTTGAGGTGGAGTTTTCCGGTCACCCAAAGAGACAAAAAGGGTTTGGGCCAGGTGAATGCAAATCTTGTCACCAAACTACACACAAATCGACCCCTCCAGTGAAGCGATGGCCTCGCGGCACAGGGAGTAGGATACGCCGGGAGGGTGGTTCCAGACAAAATTGGTGGTCCCCGAAGGCCAGGCGGTTCCCTCCGGGCGCTCTCGGCGACCCTAGGCAAACAAAAGGTGGAGGGGCCGTCTGGGCGCGTTTCTGAGCGCCGGCAAGTCCCAAAGTATCCTGGGCTGTAGGTCCGAGGCTGCGGTGCGCAGCAGAGGTGGCTCGGAGGTGAGCCAGCAGGTGCGGGCGGACAGGTGGGGCGCACCTGAGTATATGTAGGGCGTCGGGGGCGCGGCCCGCGCGCCCCGGGAGCGCGGGAGGGGGAGGCGGGACCGGAGGGGCGGCCGAGGATGACCTGACGTCACCGAAGGGACACTCACCTGAACCGGAAGTCGTGGCCCCCACCCCTCCTTGCCCAGGTGAGGAGGAAGAAACCTGAGCACCAGGGTCACGCCCCTTCGCTTGCCCGGTTTTGACCGCCGCTGGGGAGGAGGCGGTGGCTCCCCAGGAGTCCCAAGCTCCGAGTCAGCCCCTCCGGACTGGATTTCCCTCGAACACCGGGAAGCCCCTTCCTTTCTTCCCAACAGGTGCGCCTGGGACGCTGCGGGGCGCCCCTGACAAGCCTCGGCGCCGCCCTTTCCCCGCCGGGTTCTGTCCAAAGTGCTCTCTCCTCGGCCCTGCTTTCGCCCCCACCCGCTGCTCTCCTTTTTTTTCCTGTCTCCTACCCTGGTCGATCCCACCTTCGGGGGCCCTGGCTCGATCCCTGAGAGTCGCCCCCTTCAGCACCCTCTTCAGTGTCCCGGTTCTCTGGCTCTGCTACAGACACCCGGCTTAGCGTGGCTCCCCAACAGCCCCACCTTCCTGTGCCCCCATTCCAACCCAACATGACTTACAGCCTGAACCCTTTGCACTCAACCTCCCCACCTACCACTGTCCCCTCCGGCATCAAGGCTCCTAACTGGAGGAAGAAACCACTGGGACCTAAAGCCGGCCGAGGGTGGGGAGCAGGGTGAGGGCTAGGTCAGAGTCTTGGCCACACCCATCGTTCCCCTCCCTTAGAGTCTTTTCAGACCTATCCTCCACCTTTCCCACCCCTCCCCCACACTCGCCCGTTTCTCTTTCCCTCCCGGGCCTGGGCTTGGACTGCCAATTGCTGTGCACTCTGTCACGCCTCACTGTTCCGTCCTCCCTATAATCTGGCTCTCTAAGGTGGTCGTCCATGGTCCCTCACCCTGCAGTCCTGCTATCTCTCCCCAAAGCATTGCTCCCTCCTTCCTCCCGGCACCCCTTCCAGCCTTTTGCTCCTTCCTCCTTCATCTTTGGTCATCTCCCCTTCCTGCCTTTCCTGCTTTGGAGCTTCCTGTTTCACTCCTTGTCTTTTTTTTGTTGTTGTTTGAGAGGAGGAAGTCTGTGTTACCCAGGCTGGAGTGCAGAGGTGCAATCTCGGCTCACTGCAGCCTCGCCTCCTGGGCTCAAGCGATCACCCCGCCTCAGCGTCCCCAGTAGCTGGGACCGCGGGTGCACACCACCACGCCCAGCTAAAGTTTTTGTATTTTTGGTAGAGAAGGGTTTTCACCATGTTGCTCAGGCTGGTCTTGAACACTTGAACTGAAGCAATCCCCCTGCCCCCACCTCCTAAAGTGCAGGATTACAGGCGTGAGCCACCGCACCCAGCCCACTCCTTGTCTTTTCGTTTACCTTTGCGCCTTGTCTCCAGTCTCCTTGGAACCCAGCATCAGCAATTAATCTTTCTTTCCTCTTCTTAGGTGCACACTGCACTTTCCCCACCCACCCTGCCCAGTTTCCTCCCAATCTTCCTACTACCCTCCAACCTCCTCATACTTCTCAGATTCTCACATACCCTGCTTATTCTGGCTCTCTCTCATTTCATTTTCCTCTCTCCATTTTTTACCTCAACTCTCTCACGTTTTTTATCTTTGTTTTGCCCTCTCAAACATTTCTCTGTCTTTCCTTCGTTTATTCGCTAAACATATTAAAGTCCCCCTTATGCTAAGCTAATTGACCTGCTTTTGTATAAAATGAAGACTTTCATGAACTCTTTTTTTTTTTTTTTGAAACAGAGTTTTTGCTCTTGTCGCCCAGACTGGAGTGCAATGGCATGATCTCGGCTCACTACAACCTCCACCTCCTGGGTTCAAGTGATTCTCCTGCCTCAGCCTCCCAAGTAGCTGGGAGTATAGGTGCCCACCACCACGCCCAGCTAATTTTTGTATTTTTAGTAGAGACGGGGTTTCACCGTGTTAGCCAGGCAGATCTCGAATTCCTGACCTCAGGTGATCCCAACCCACCTCGACCTCCCAAAGTGCTGGGATTACAGGCGTGAGTCACTGCTCCCAGCCATGAACTGTTTGTTATTCGTTTTTATTGTTGTACTTTTGGATTAATGGTACTTTTCTGGATTAATGTACTCTTAGAGGCCGGGTCTCACTCTGTCGCCCAGGCTAGAGTGCAGTGGTACAATTATAGCTCACTGCAGCCTTGAACTCCTGGGCTCAAAGCATGCCCCCCCACCCCCCAACAAATAGCTGCAATTACAGCCACGTGTCATCATTGTTCTGGCTTTGTTTGTTTTTTGAAACAGAGTCTCGCTCTGTCACCCAAGCTGGAGTGCAGTGGCACGATCTCGGCTCACTGCAACCTCTGCCTCCCGGGTTCAAGCAATTCTCCTGCCTCACCCTCCCGAGTAGCTGGGATTATAAGCGCGCACCACCACGCCCAGCTAATTTTTTGTATTTTTAGTAGAAACGAGGTTTCACCATGTTGGCCAGGCTGGGCTCAAATTCCTGACCTCAAGTGATCTCCCTGCCTCAGCCTCCCAAAGTGGTGGGATTACAGGAGTGAGCTACCGCAACTGACTTTCCTTTTTTTTTTTTTTTTTTTTTTTTTTTTTTTTTTTTGAGACGGAGTCTTTCTCTGTCGCCCAGGCTGGAGTGCAATGGCACGATCTCAGCTCACTGCAACCTCCGCCTCCCGGGTTCAGGCCATTCTCCTGCCTCAGCCTCCTGAGTAGCTGAGACTACAGGCACCCGCCACCACGCCCGGCTAATTTTTTTGTATTTTTTTAGTAGAGGCGGGGTTTCACCGTGTTAGCCAGGATGGTCTCGATCTCCTGACCTTGTGATCCGCCCGCCTTGGCCTTCCAAAGTGCTGAGATTACAGGCGTGAGCCACTGCGCCCAGGCTGGAGTGCAATGGCACAATCTCAGCTCACTGCAACCTCTGCCTCCCAAGTTCAAGCAATTCTCCTACCTCAACCTCCCAAGTAGCTGGGATTACAGGCATGTACCACGACACCCGGCTAACTTTTTGTATTTAGTTGAGATGGGGTTTCACCATGTTGGTCAGGTCGGTCTCGAACTCCTGACCTCAGGTGATCCACCTGCTTCGGCCTCCCAAAGTGCTGGGATTACCGGTGTGAGCCACTGCGCCTGGCCCCGACCTTTTTTTTTTTTTTTTTTTTTCCGATGGTGAGATTTTCTTTTTTTCTTTTTAATTTTATTTTATTTTGAGACGTAATCTTGCTCTATTGCCTAGGCTGGAGTGCAGTGGTGCGATCTCGGCTCACTGCAACCTCCGCCTCCCGGGTTCAAGCAATTCTCCTGCCTCGGTCTCTTAAATAGCTGGGATTACAGGCGCGCACCACCACACCCAGCTAATTTTTGTATTTTTAGTAGAGATGGGGTTTCACCATGTTGGTCAGACTGGTCTCAAACTCCTGACATCGGGATCCGCCCGCCTCGGCCTCCCAAAGTGCTGGGATTACAGGCCTGAGCCACCACCCCCGGCCTTTTTTTTTATTATGTTAAAAGACTAGTCAGATGCAGTAGTGAGAAAGCAGTGAGAGTGGAAAAAGAAGTTCCGTCTGTAACTGACTGTGAACAATCAATTGAAATAATTCACTACCTTCAGACCAGCTGAGATTTTCTTGAAAATTTTCCTTTTAGCTCTAAAAGAAAATATTTGTCATCACTTAACTATATCCAGCTTCTCTCCAAACTCACTGCCGCCACGCCACACCAGCCCAAGACTGGACACAGCAACTGCCTCCAAACCAATCTCCCTTCCACACTGGTCATTTTAAACTCTATTCTCTGGAGTGACCACTTCTTACTCACTCAGAGCTTTGTCATTTCCTGTTTAAAATCTTTCAGTTGGCCGGGTGCGGTGGCTCACGCCTGTAATCCCAGCACTTTGGGAGGCTGAGGCGGGCGGATCACGAGGTCAGGAGATCGAGACCATGGTGAAACCCCGTCTCTACTAAAAATACAAAAAAAAAAAAAAAAAATTAGCCGGGTGTGGTGGTGGGCACCTGTAGTCCCAGCTTCTCGTGAGGCTGAGGCAGGAGAATGGCGTGAACCTGGGAGGCGGAGCTTGCAGTGAGCTGAGATCGCGCCACTGCACTCCAGCCTGGGCGACAGAGCAAGACACTGTCTCAAAAAAAAAAAAAAGAAATAAAATAAAATAAAATCTTTCAGTGACACTCGTGTTCTTCCCAGTAAGTGTCACACCATGGCTGACCTGACTGCCTCAGCCACACTGGCCTTCTCTGTTCCTGCCCACTGAATTGCCTTTGTACAGTCTGTTCTCTGGGTCTGGAAGCTCTTCTCCATCCACTCCCACCCACCTTCCTCTATCCAGCTAACCAACTAATCCTTCAGCTATCCCTCAAATAGCACTTCTTTTAGAAAGCCTGGCCTGACCACCCCACCCCAAACTGAGTCAGATCATCTGCATAGTGCTCTCACGGCTACCAGTACTTTGCTTTCAAAGCTCTTATCACAGTTTGAAAATACTGTATTTACTTTATGTACTTATTTATTCAATGTCAATATCCCCACTATACTGTATGCTCCAAGAGGGTAGAGATGTGTCTGGATTTTATCACCAATAAATATTTGAGGAATGAATGAATAAATTGCAAATAAACAATATTTTCATTCACTGTTCAACAAATATTTTCTTTTTTCTTTTTTCTTTTTTTTTTTTGAGACAGAGTCTTGCTCTGTCACCCAGGCTGGAAGGCAGTGGCACGATCTTGGCTCATCACAACCTCTGCCTCTCAGGTTCAAGCGATTCTTGTGCCTCAGCTTCCCAAGTAGCTAGGGTTACAGGCACGGACCACCATGCCCAGCTAATTTTTTAAATATTTTTGGTAGAGATGGGGTTTCACCATGTTGGCCAGGCTAGTCTCGAACTCCTGACCTCAGGTGATCCGCCCACCTTGGCCTCCCAAAATTCTAGGATTACAGGTGCGAGCCACCACACCCAGCCCTCAACAAATATTTTCTAAGTGTCTATAATGTGCCAGACATGGCCAGGCACAGTGGTTATGTCTGTAGTCCCAGCTACTCAGGAAGCTGAGGTGAGAAGATCACTTAAGCCCATAAGTTCGAGGCTGCAGTGAGCTATGATCATGCCACTGCACTCCAGTCTGGGCAACAGAGGGAGATCCTGTCTCTTAAAAAAAAAAAATGGTGCGGCCAGGTGTGGTGGCTTATGCCTGTAATCGCAGCCCTTTGGGAGGCAGAGGCAGGAGGATCACGAGGTCAGGAGTTCGAGACCAGTCTAGCCAACATGGTGAAACCCCATCTCTACTAGAAATACAAAAAATTAGCTGGGTGTGGTGGCAGGGGCCTGTAATCCCAGCTACTCGGGAGGCTGAAGCAGGAGAATCGCTTTAACCTGGGAGGCAGAGGTTGCAGTGAGCCGAGACTGCATCACTGTACTTCAGCCTGGGCAACAGAGCAAGACTCTGTCTCAAAAAAAAAAAAGGGGGGGAGACCAAGCATGTTGGCTCATGCCTGTAATCCCAGCACTTTGGGAGGCTGAGGCGGGGGGATCACGAGGTCAGGAGTTTGAGACCAGCCTGGCCAACATGGTGAAACCCCGTCTCTACCAAAGGTACAAAAAATTAGCCGGGCGTGGTGGCACGCGCCTGTAGTCCCAGCAACTCTGGAGACTGAGGCAAGAGAATCCCTTGAACCCGGGAGGCGGAGGTTGTGAGGTTGCAGTGAGCCAAGATCGCGCCATTGCACTCCAGCCTGGGCAACAGGCTGTCTCAATAATTTAAAAAAAAAAAAAAAGAAAGGCTGGGTGCAGTGGCTCACACCTGTAATTCCAGCACTTTGGGAGGCCGAGGTGGGTGGATCGCCTGAGGTCAGGAGTTCGAGACCAGCCTGGCCAACATGGTGAAACCCCGTCTCTACTTAAAATACAAAAATTAGCTGGGTGTGGTGGCAGGTGCCTGTAATCCCAGCTACTCGGGAGGCTGAAGCAGGAGAATTGCTTGAATCCAGGAGGCGGAGGTTGCAATGAGCCGAGATCGCGTCATTGCACTCCAGCCTGAGGGACAAGAGTGAGACTTCGTCTGAAAAAAAAAAAAAAGACCAGGCACTATAGTTGACCCTGGAGATACAGCAGGAAGCAAACTGGATAAGGATACTGAACTCATGCTACTTATTTTCTAGAAGGAAGAAGCAGACAATAAAGACATAAACAAAACGGTGCATGTTTTGAAAGCAATAAAGCAGTGTAATCTGATGAGGTCGAATCTACTCTAGGATGAGGTTAGAGAGAACTTTTTGAGGAAATGACTGCTAAATAATATGCCAGTGGCCAGGCACAATGGCTCATGCTTGTAATCCCAGCACTTTGGGAGGCTGAGGCAGGTGGGTCACCCGAGGTCAGGAGTTCAAGACCAGCCTGGCCAACATGGTGAAAACCCGTCTCTACTAAAAATATTTTTAAAAATTAGCCGAGCATGATGGTGTGTGCCTGTAATCCCAGCTACTCGGGAGGCTGAGACAGGAGAATCGCTTGAAACTGGGAGGCAGAGGTTGCAGTGTGCCAAGATCATGCCACTGCACTCCAGCCTGGGCAACAAGAGTAAAACTCCATCTCAAACAAACAAAAAATAATAATAGTAAGCCACGAGGGAACCATATTATAGGCAGAAGGAACAGCAAGGGCAAAGGGCAAAGGCCTGCTGTTGATTGCCCCTTTGAGACTCACAGTAATTAATTTAAAGCAGAATTTCTCAACCTTGACACTGTTGACATTTTCTCCCCTGCTATCTCTTGGGCTAGATAATTTTTTGTTGTCCCATGCATTATAGGATATTTAGGAGCATCTCTGACTTCTATCAATTAGATGTACCCTCCCCTGTACCTAAGTGTGACAAAAAATGTCTCCAGACGTTGCCAAATGTCCCAGGGAGGAGAGGAGTAAAATGGGTCCCAGTAAAGCGTGACTGGTGAGCATCATCATGGATTTTTTTCCTCTAATAGCCTTGAAGTAACTAGTTGGATAAAAGGATCCAAGTAGGGGCCGGGCGTGGTGGTTCACACCTATAATCCCAGCACTTTGGGAGGCTGAGGTGGGCGGATCACCTGAGGTCAGGAATTCGAGACCAGCCTGACCAACATGGAGAAACCCGGTCTGTACTAAAAATACAAAACTAATCAGGTGTGGTGGCATGTGCCTGTAATCCCAGCTACTCGGGAGGCTGAAGCAGGAGAATCACTTGAACCTAGGAGGTGGAGGTTGCAGTGAGCCGAGGTCGCACCATTGTACTGTAGCCTGGGCAACAAGACTGAAACTCCTTCAAAAAAAGAGAAAAAATGGGATCCAAGTACATGAATAGTTGAAATTAACTAGGGTTGGGTGTTACTAAAAAGAGGAAGAAGGAATTTTATAATATTTTCACGAGAGTGATTGTGTTAGATTATAGATATAAATTGGGTAAGAGGGAGAGAAAACACAAAAGAGTTGGTGGATAGTGAAAAACTGGTAGGATCAAAAGTTTAGAGGTCCCCATGAGGTGAAAGAAGTGAGGATACATGAGTCTGGACATGGTGGCTCATGTCTGTAATCCCAACACTTTGGGAGGCTGAGGTAAGTGGATCACTTGAGCTCAGGAGTTGGAGACCAGCCTGGGCAATATGGCAAAACCTCACCTCTACAAAAAAAATACAACAGCAAAAAGTTAGGCAGGCATGGTGGCTGGCACCTGTAGTCCTAGCTACTCGCTCGAGAGGCTGCGGTGGGAGGATTGCTTAAGCCTGGAAGGTCGAGGCTACAGTGAGCCATGATCATTCCACTGCACTCCAGCCTGGGCAACAGAGGGAGACCCTGTCTCAAGAAAAAAAGAGGCCGAGTGCGGTGGGTCAAGCCTGTAATCCCAGCACTTTGGGAGGCCGAGGCGGACGGATCACGAGGTCAGGAGATCGAGACCATCCTGGCTAACACGGTGAAACCCTGTCTCTACTAAAAACACAAAAATTAGCCAGGCATGGTGACACACTCCTGTAGTCCCAGCTACTCAGGAGGCTGAGGCAGGAGAATGGCGTGAACCCGGGAGGCGGAGCTTGCAGTGAGCCGAGATTGCGCCACTGGGCAACAGAGTGAAACTCTGTCTCAATAAATAAATAAATAAATAAAATTTTTAAAAAGGAAAAAAAAAAGTGAGGATATGTGAGTAAATGAACTAGAAGGCTAGAGGTGATTATGAAACATTCCTGGTTTGAATTCAAAAAATTGGAAGAAGGCCGGGCACAGTGGCTCACGCCTATAATCTTAGCACATTGGGAGGTTGAAGCAAGCAGATCACTTGAGGCCAAGCAGATTGCTTGAGGCTTGAGACCAGCCTGACCCGTTAACAAGGCAAAACCCCGTCTCTCCTAAAAATACAAAAATTGGCCAGGCCTCGGAGGCCTGCAGAGAGCCGAGATCACGCCACTGCACTCCAGCTTGGGTGACAGAGCAAGACTCAGTCTCAAAAAAAAAAAAAAAAAAAAATAGCCAGGCATAATCCCAGCTTCTTGGGAGGTTGAGCCATGAGAACTGCTTGAACCCAGGAAGCAGAAATTGCAATGAGCCGAGGTCACACCACTGCACTCCTGCCTGGGCAATACAGCAAGACTCTGTCTCAAAAAAAAAAAATTGTTGCTAGGCATGGCAGCTCATGCCTGTAATCCCAGCCTTTTGGGAGGCCAAGGCCAACAGATAGCTTGAGGTCAGGAATTCGAGACCAGCCTGGGCAACATGGTGAAACCCCATCTCTGCCAAAAATACAAAAATTAGCCAGGCATGGTGGTGGATGCCTGTAATCTCCGCTACTCAGGAGGCTGAGAATCGCTTGAACCCGGGAGGCAGAGGTTGCAATGAGCCGAGACGGCGCCACTGCACTCCAGCCTGGGCAACAGAGCGAGACTCCATTTCAAAAAAAAAAAAAAAGTTGGAAGAGTTTGTTTTTGGAGATGACAAAACCTAGGGTAGAGGTCTGAGGATGGGCTGAAGAGGAAAATCACTGGAGAAGAGACTGAGGAGTGGAGAGGCCACAATGGATTGCCCTGATGGATTATGAAGTTATCAACGATGATGTTAGGAAAAAATAGGTGAAAAGAGGAAGAAGATGAGCCAGGTGCTAACATTATCAGTGAATGTGGGTGAACAACCGGGTTTGAAGACCCTTGCAACAAGTAGAGGCAGCAGATCATATAGTTTGAGACGTTAATTTCAAAAAGCAGAGGATTTTGAAAGATGAAGAAAGAATAAGGGTCTAAGGCCAGGCATGGTGGCTCATGCCTATAATCCCAGCACTTTGGGAGGCCGAGGGGGGCAGATCACGAGTTCAGGAGTTCGAGAGCAGCCTGACCTACATGGTGAAACCCCATCTCTACTAAAAATACAAAAATTAGCCGGGCGTGGTCATGCACGCCTGTAATCCCAGCTACTCAGGAGGCTGAGGCAGGAAAATCGTTTGAACCCGGGAGGCGGAGGTTGCAGCGAGCCAAGATCGCGCCACTGCACTCCAGCCAGGGTAACAGAGTGAGACTCCATCTCAAGAAAAAAAAAAAAAAAGGCCGGGCACGGTGGCTCACGCCTGTAATCCCTCCCAGCACTTTGAGAGGCTGAGGCGGGTGGATCATGAGGTCAGGAGATCGAGACCGTCCTGGCTAACATGGTGAAACCCCGTTTCTACTAAAATACAAAAAAAATTAGCCAGGCGTCGTGGCAGGCGCCTGTAGTCCCAGCTACTCAGGAGGCTGAGGCAGGAGAATGGCATGAGCCCGGGAGGAGGAGGTTGCAGTGAGCAGAGATTGCGCCACTGCACTCCAGCCTGGGCGACAGAGCAGGCTGTCTCAAACAAAAAAAAAAAAAAAGAGTCTAGACGCAGCACTAGGGAGCAATCCACCCAACTCTACTCTGCAGTATGCAAAGACCGATGAACAAGCCTCTGTAAAGAGGGCTGCCAGGGAAGTGTGCCCTCCAGACGCCAGGTTTCAGTAAGGTCTAGGAAAGGGAGGTTCAGAGAAGAGGATGGGCTTATAAGAATGATGACAGACATTGAGTCCAGAGGTAACCGTGGAAAAATTTGAAAGGTCAAGTCTGGTTGGAAGATTGGGTGATATTAGGGGATGTACACTACAGTATGGGGTGGTGGATGATGACATTATGAGTTAATCAACCTCGTATGAAAACCCAACCAACTTGTTTGTTTCTACAGGAAATTGTTCTGAGTTCTAAAAACTGATACATAAATTAACTTTGGAAACTTGCAGCATTATTTATAAAGTAATTGGTTACTGATTATTTCAAGGCAAATGATATTCCAGGTTCTAATTCTGCTTCCTTCAGGACTTCATTCTTGGGCTTCGACTATCTCATCTTTAAAATAGGAGTGATAATGTTTTTGCCTACTTGGGAAACAAGAGGCTGGGCTAAGTGGTCTACTATGGTTCATTCTGGAGTAGATATTTGAGATACAGATTTGGAAAAGAAGTGAAAAAGTGACCAACTCATTTATGAGGCTAGGGTAATCTTGCCTCTGAAATCAGTTAGTAATAATATAAGAAAAGAATTCTAGGCCCATTTAATCTATGAATATAGACACAGAAGTCTTTAATAAAATATTACTTAACTAGGCTGGAAGCGGTGGCTTACGCCTGTAATCCCAGCACTTTGGGAGGCTGAGATGGGCAGAACACATGAGGCCAGGAGTTCAAAACCAGCCTGACCAACATGGTGAAACCCCGTCTCTACTAAAAATACAAAAAAATTCTTTGGGAGGCTGAGGTGGGTGGATCACGAGGTCAGGAGATCGAGACCATCCTGGCTAACATGGTGAAACCCCGTCTCTACTAAAAATACAAAAAATTAGCCGGGCGCGGTGGCAGGCACCTGTAGTCCCAGCTACTTGGGAGGCTGAGGCAGGAGAATGGCACGAACCCGGGAGGCGGAGCTTGCAGTGAGCCGAGATCATGCCACGGCACTCCAGCCTGGGTGACAGAGCGAGAATCTGTCTCAAAAAAAAAAAAAAATACAAAAAAATTAGCCGGGTGTGGTGACGCACGCCTGTAGTCCCAGCTACTCAGGAGGCTGAGGCGGGAGAATCGCTTGAACCTAGGAGGCAGAGGTTGCAATGAGGCTAGATCATGCCACTGCACTCCAGCCTGGGTAACACAGCAAGATTCTGTCTCAAAAAAAAGAAAAAATTACAAAATCCATCAATGTGGTTTATCACAATAATAGACTAAAGGAAAAAAATCAGCAGGATGCGGTGGCTCTTGCCTGTAATCCCAGCATTTTGGGAGGCCGAGGTGGGTGAATCACGAGGTGAGGAGATCGAGACTATCCTGGTTAACACAGCAAAATCCTGTCTCTACTAAAAATACAAAAAATTAGCCAGGCGTGTTGGCACACACTAGTAGTTCCAGCTACTCGGGAGGCTGAGGCAGGAGAATCACTTGAACCCAGGAGGCGGAGGTTGCAGTGAGCCGAGATCGCACCACTGCACTCCAGCCTGGGTGACAGAGCGAGACTTCATCTCAAAAAAAAAAAAAAAAAAAAATAGAGGCTGGGCGCAGTGGCTCACGCCTGTAATCCCAGCACTTTGGGAGGCTGAGGCGGGTGGATCACCTGAGGTTGCGAGTTCGAGACTAGCCTGACCAACATGGAGAAACTCCGTCTCTACTTAAAATACAAAATTAGCCGGGCGTGGTGGTGGGCACCTATAATCCCGGCTACTCGGGAGGCTGAGGCAGGAGAATCGCTTGAACCTGGGAGGCAGAGGTTGTGGTGAGCCGAGATTGCACCATTGTACTCCAGCCTGGGCAACAAGAGCAAAACTCCGTCTCAAAAAAAAAAAAAAGGAAAAAAAATCATATGGCTATCTCAAATGAGAATTTTAAAGGGCATTTGATGAGGTTCAATACCTGCTTATCATAAAAACCTTTAGCAAACAAAGGTTAGATAGGAAATTCTTATACTTAATGAATAATGTTGGACTCATCTCTTTTATTCTTGGGGAAAAAAACAAAGATGTCCACTGTTACCACACTTATTTTACAAAATCCTAGAGGTCTTGAGCAATACTACAAGGAAATAAAAGAAACAAGTAGTGCAAAGATACGAAAGGAAAAAATAAAACTGATTATTTGCCGGGCGCGGTAGCTCACGGCTGTAATCCCAGCACTTTGGGAGGCCGAGGTGGGTGGATCAACAGGTGAAGAGTTCGAGACCAGCCTGGCCAACATGGTGAAACCCATCTCTACCAAAAATACAAAAATTAGCTGCATGTGCTAGCTCACACCTGTAATTCCAGCTACTTGGGAGGCTGAGGCAGAAGAATCGCTTGAATCTGGGAGGTGGAGGTCACAGTGAGCCAAGATCGTGCCACTGCACTCCAGCCTGGGCAACAGAGCCAGACTCCGTCTCAAAACAAGAAAACAAAACAAAACAAAAACCCTGATTATTTGCAGGTAATATAATCATCTACTTAGAAAAACCAATAAAATCGCCGGTCGCAGTGGCTCACACCTGTAATCCCAGCACTTTGGGAGGCCAAGGCAGGTGGATCACCTGAGGTCTGGAGTTCGGGACCAGGCTAACCAACGTGGAGAAACCCCGCCTCTACTAAAAATACAAAATTAGCCGGGAATGGTGGTGCATGCCTGTAATCCCAGCTACTCGGGAGGTTGAGACAGGAGAATTGCTTGAGGCCCGGAGGCGGAGGTTGCAGTGAGCCGAGATAGCGCCGTTGCACTCCAGCCTGGGTAACAATCGAAACTCCGTCTTAAAATAAACAAATAAATAAAATAAAATCAACAGAAAGACTAGTAGAACAAGCAAGGGTATTCATAAAGGTTGTTGTGTACAAAATTAACCTATAAAACAAACAAACAAACAAAAACTACTAGTATTTTACTGCACCAGAAATTACCAATCAGAAAATGTTAAAAAAAAAAAGAAAAGAAAAGAAAAGAAAAAAGAAAAAGAAAAAAAAAGGCCAGGCACAGTGGCTCACGCCTGTAATCTCAGCATTCTGGGAGGCCAAGGTAGGTGGGTACTTGAGCCCAAGGGTTTCAGGCCAGCCTGGGCAATATAGGGAAGCCCTGTCTCTACAAAAAGATACAAAAATTTGCTGGGCATGGTGGTGTGCGCCTGTAGTCCCAGCTACTTGAGAGGCTGAAGTGGGAGGATTTCTTGAGCCCAGGAGGCTGCAGTGAGCCATAATTGCACCACTCTACTCCAGCCAGGACAACAGAGTGGCACTCTGTCTCAAAAAAAAAAAAAAAGAAGAAGAAGAAGAAGAAAGAAAAAGAATAACAAAAATAACATTCAATGGCCAAGCACGGTGGCTCACGCTTGTAATCCCAGCACTTTGGGAGGCCGAGGCAGGTGGATCATGGGGTCAGGAGTCAGAGACCAGCCTGTCCAACATGGTGAAAGCCCATTTCTGCTAAAAATACAAAAAATTAGCAGGGCGTGGTGGCACACGCCTGTAGTCCCAGATACTCAGGACAGTGAGGCAGAAGAATCGCTTGAACCTGGGAGGCGGAGGTTGCAGTGAGCTGAGATCTCACCATTGCACTCCAGCCTGGGCAACACGGTGAGACTATGTCTCAAAAATAAATAAATAAATAAATAACATGCAATTTACATCAGTGACAAAGTTATAAGGTATCTAGGAATTAACCAAGAATTCTTAAAACTTTAGTGGAAAAATGTTTTTTAATTCTCATAAAATACATAGATGACAGCCTGAATATATAAATCAATAGTCCATGCTCTCAAATGGGATGACTTAATATTATAATGATATCAATTGTCCCTAGAATAATTTATAATTCAATGTTACCAATAAAAATCCAACTGGCAGCTAGGTGTGGTGGCTCATGCCGGTAATTCCAGCACTTTGGGAGGCCGAAGCAGGTGGATCACCTGAGGTCAGGAGTTCGAGACCAGCCTGACCAACATGGTGAAACCCCCATCTCTACTAAAAATACAAAAATTAGCCCATAGTGGTGTCTCACGCCTGTAATCCCAGCTACTTGGGAGGCCAAGGCAGGAGAATATTTTGAACCCAGGAGGCAGAGGTTGCAGTGAGCTGAGATTGCGCCATTGCACTCCAGCCTGGTTGACAAGATCGAAATTCCGTCTCAAAAAAAAAAAAAATCCAACTGTTGTTTTAGGCTTTTTTTTTTTAACGTTAAATTTATGTAAGCAAGTTTTTTTAAAAAACAGATCTTGTTAAGTGTATCTCCAAATTTGTATAGAGCAATAAAAAACAACAAATATTAAGTCTACAGTGAAAAGAAAGAGTAATGGCCGGGCACGGTGGCTCACACTTGTAATCCAGCACTTTGGAAGGCTGAGGCGGGCGGATCACTTGAGGACAGGAGTTCAAGACCAGCCTGACCAACGTGGTGAAACCCTGTCTCTACTAAAAATACAAAACAATTAGCCAGGCATGGTGGTGGGCGCCTGTAATCCCACCTACTCAGGAGGCTGAGGCAGGAGAATCGCTCGAACCCAGGAGACAGAGGTTGCAGCGAGTTGAGATCGGGCCATTGCAATCCAACCCGGGCAACAAGGGCAAAACTCTTTCTCAAAAAAAAAAAAAAAAAAAGAAAGAAAAAAAAAAGAATGAGTAACAAGAAGTCTCTTGCCCTTCTCAGAAATTTAAACTTGCTACAAAGTATCATAAAAATCAACTTGTGCAAGAACAGACAAATACATCAATGGAACAGAATACAAATTCAGAGACAGACCCTTACATCATACATTAGAATTTGATATATGATAAAAGTGGTTCACTAAAGAGAAAAGTAAATTGGATCCCTAACACCTAAAACAAGGATGAATTCTAGAGGAATCAAGAAGACTTAAATGTGAAAAGTAAAACTATAAAGTTACTGGAAGAAAATGTAGAAGAATGCATTTATGGTGCAGAGTTGGGAAAGAATATATACAAATTATCAAAAATTGCAAACCATAAGGGGAAAAAATGGTCATTTTCATTACACTTAAATTAATAATTTCTATTCTGGCCAGGAGCGGTGGCTCACACATATAATCCTAGCACTTTGGGAGGCCGAGGTGGGTGGGTCACCTGAGGTCAGGAGCTCCAGGCCAGCCTCACCAACATGGTGAAACACCGTCTCTACTAAAAATACAAAAATTAGCTGCATGTGGTAGCTCACACCTGTAATCCCAGCTACTCAGGAGGCTAAGGCAAGAAAATCACTTGAACCCGGTGGGCAGAGGTTGCAGTGAGCCGAGATTGCACCACTGTACTCCAGCCTGGGTAACAGAGCCAGACTCCATATGAAAAAAGAAAAAAAATCTATTTCATGAAGTTCATGAAGGAAAAATTAATATAGAGATGATAGAATGGGAGAAGGTATCTGCAATGCCTAAATCTGACAAAGTAACTGATCTCTCTTTTTTTTTTTTTTTTTTTTGAGATGAAGTTTCACTCTTGTTGCCCAGGCTGGAGTGCAATAGCGCGATCTCAACTCACCACAACTTCTGCCTCCCTGGTTCAAGTGATTCTCTTGCCTCAGCCTCCTGAGTAGCTGGGATTACAGGCATGCACCGCCACACCCAGCTAATTTTGTATTTTTAGTAGAGACAGGGTTTCTCCATGTTGGTCAGGCTGGTCTCGAACTCCCGACCTCAGGTGTTTGGCCGGCCTTGGCCTCCCAAAGTGGTGGGATTACAGGCGTGAGCCACTGTGCCCAGCCTGATCTCATTGTGTTTGTTTGTTTGTCTGTTTGTTTGAGATGGACCCTCACTCTGTCACCTAGGCTGGAGTGCAGTGGCATGATATCGGCTCACCTCAACCTCCGCCACCCGGGTTTATGCCATTCTCCTGCCTCAGCCTCCCGAGTAGCTGGGACTACAGGCGCCCGCCACCACGTCTGGCTAATTTTTTGTATTTTTAGTAGAGACAGGGTTTCACCGTGTTAGCCAGGATGGTCTCGATCTCCTGACCTTGTGATCCGTCCGCGTCAGTCTCCCAAAGTGCTGGGATTACAGGCGTGAGCCACCACGCCTGGCCACGAGTGGATTTTAAAAACATCGTGATTACTGAAAATAAGATCAGAGTGAAATATATAACAAGATGCTATTTATGGAAATTTAAAATGTTTGGGCCGGGCGTGGTGACTCACACCTGTAATCCCAGCACTTTGGGAGGCTGAGGTGGGCAGATCACTTGAGGTCGGGTGTTGAAGACCAGCCTGGCCAACATGGTGAAACCGTCTCTACTTAAAATACAAAAATTAGCCAGGCACAGTGGCGCAAGCCTGTAATCCCAGCCACTCCGGAGGCTGAGACAGGAGAATCACTTGAACCTGGGAAGCGGAGGCTGCAATGAGTGGAGATCGCCCCACTGCACTCCAGCCTGGGTGACAGAGCGAGACACTGTCTCATAAAAAGAAAAAAAAAAAAAACTTTGCACACAAAATGATTTATATTTTGTAAGAGCACAAAGAAAAAAATGAACATTTAATGCACTGGAATAATTGAATGCATTGGAATAAGCATTTGGGTGTGGTGAATCGAACGTGTAGTCTTAGCTACTTGGGAGGCTGAGGTGAGAGGACCGCTTGAGCCCAGGAAGTCTAGGCTGCAGTGATCGGTGACTGTGCCTCTCACTCGAGCCTGAGCAACAGAGACCTCAACTCAAAACCAGTAAAATCGCCGGGCATGGTGGCTCACGCCAGTAATCCCAGCACTTTGGGAGGCCGAGGCAGGTGGATCACCTGAGGTCGGGAATTGGAGACAAACCTGACCAACATGGTGAAATCCCCCATCTCTACTAAAAATACAAAATTAGCTGGGCCCGGTGGCGCATGCCTATAATCTCAGCTACTCGGGAGGCTGAGGCGGGAGAATGGCTTGAACCCGGAAGATGGAGGTTGCAGTGAGCCAAGGTTGTGCCATTGCACTCCAGCCTGGGTAACAAGAGCGAAACTCTGTCTCAAAACAAACAAAAACAAAAATAAAAATGAGACATAGATCAGTGAAGACAGTGTGCTAATAACTGTCATTCGTTCAATCTTCTGTGCTGGAACTCAGGGATCAAGGTCCCCAGAAGCCGGAAACAAAGTGAACCTGTGGAGCAGGAACTGGGTGAGGAAGCTTTCTTTGAAGGATGAAGAGGAGTCCTTTGGAATTCCGGATTTTTTTTTTTCTTCTTGAGACGGAGTCACTCTGTCGCCAGGCTGGAGTGCAAGGGCACGATCTTGGCTCACTACAACCTCCACCTCCTGGGTTCAAGCCATTTTCCTGCCTCAGCCTCCCGAGTAGCTGGGATTACAGGTGTGCATAACCACGCCCGGCTAATTTTTGTATCTTTAGCAGACATGGGGTTTCTCTATGTTGGCCAGGCTGGTTTCAAACTCCTGACCTCAGTCGATCCACCTGCCTTGGCCTCCTAAAGTGCTGGGATTACAGGCATGAGCCACCAGGCCGGGCCGGCATTCCAGATTTTTCAGGGGATTAGTGCAGCAAAGGAATCAAGAAGGGATGTAAAGGCACAGTGTGTTCTGGGTACAATAAGGACTTAGGCATTGCCCAGAACAGGAGGCGAAGGAGATAGAAGGAGAGGCAGGAGAGATAGGTAAGGCCAGAGATCGGATAAGAGAGGCAGGAGGTTTTGTTCACTCTGAAAAGGGATTTGAACTTGGCAATTGGGGCAACAGAGACAGTGACTTCTTGCTTGAGAGATGAGATTGGACCTTCGAAAATTGTTCTCTGCCCTCGTCATAAAGGAAATAAGAGGAGCACGAAGACCAGTGAGGGTGATGGTGATCTGGACTGAAGTGGCAGCCGCCACGGAGAATATCGGATGAATGTGAGAGAGTTTTGGAGGTCAAAGCACCAATGTTGGAAACTAACTGGATAAACGAGGAGAGCGGCGCAGGACAGGAGGAATCGAGCCTGACTTCTACCATAGGGGTGACTGGGCGGGTAATTCATTGAAATAAGGAAGTTAGGAGGAGGAGCAGGTTTGGACATGCTGATCACTAGAGCTGCCACATCCGGGCGGTAACGAACACCTGGATCTGCAGCTCCAGAGAAGGGCCTGGGTCAGATGTCACTGAAGCCCTATGGTGGCGGAAAGGCGAGAAATAGTGGGTTGAGATTCCAAGTGCAATCCACTGCGGCTCCTCGCTCGCCCTCCAGGTGGCAGCACAACCCTGCGCTTCCGAAGCCCGTTTTCTGAGCCAGACACTCTCCACGCTCTGGGTATTTCGGCTTCTCTCTCCCCACACGCCGACCCTAGGTCGCGCACTTTCTGCCTGGCAGAATTTGGCCGAGGATCCAAACCCGGAGCAGCCTCCAGAGAGCGTGTCGTTCACGCGGCCAGCATATGCTCAGAGACCTCAGAGGCTCAGAGACCTCAGGGCTGGTGGTGTGGTCGGTTGTGACCACTTGTCCCTCGGACCGGCTCCAGGAACCAACCTGGGGAATGTGTGTAGGGGAAGGGCGGGATAGACAGTGCCCGGAGCAGGGAGGCGCTGAAAGACAGGACCAAGCAGCCCGGCCACCAGACCCGTTGTGGGAACGGAATTTCCTGGCCCCCAGGGCCACACTCGCGTGGGAAGCATGTCGCGGACTCTTTAAGGCGTCATCTCCCTGTCTCTCCGCCCCCGCCTGGGACAGGCCGGGACGCCCGGGACCTGACATTTGGAGGCTCCCAACGTGGGAGCTAAAAATAGCAGCCCCGGGTTACTTTGGGGCATTGCTCCTCTCCCAACCCGCGCGCCGGCTCGCGAGCCGTCTCAGGCCGCTGGAGTTTCCCCGGGGCAAGTACACCTGGCCCGTCCTCTCCTCTCAGACCCCACTGTCCAGACCCGCAGAGTTTAAGATGCTTCTGCAGCCCGGGATCCTAGCTGGTGGGCGGAGTCCTAACACGTGGGTGGGCGGGGCCTTTTGTTCCAGGGACTCTTTTCTCAAAACTTCCCAGTCGGAGGCTGGCGGGAACCCGAGAGGCGTGTCTCGCCAGCCACGCGGAGGGGCGTGGCCTCATTGGCCCGCCCCACCAACTCCAGCCAAACTCTAAACCCCAGGCGGAGGGGGCGTGGCCTTCTGGGGTGTGCGGGCTCCTGGCCAATGGGTGCTGTGAAGGGCGTGGCCCGCGGGGGCAGGAGCGAGGTGGCGGGGGCTTCTCGCGTCTTTTCCCCCAGCCCCGCTCCACCAGATCCGCGGGAGCCCCACTGCTCTCCGGGTCCTTGGCTTGTGGCTGTGGGTCCCATCGGGCCCGCCCTCGCACGTCACTCCGGGACCCCCGCGGCCTCCGCAGGTTCTGCGCTCCAGGCCGGAGTCAGAGACTCCAGGATCGGTTCTTTCATCTTCGCCGCCCCTGCGCGTCCAGCTCTTCTAAGACGAGATGCCGTCGGGCTTCCAACAGATAGGCTCCGAAGTAGGATTCATCATGAGGGGGCGGGGCGGGGGGGCACGGGTCCCGCTTTTCTTGGGCTGGGGTCGCGGTTGGGGTCAGCTGGGGGTGGTTCCTGCGCAGGCGCAGGGGGTGAAGGTAGGGGGCTGGCTATTTATACCCGGCCTGGACAACCCGTGACTGTGAGATTCCAATCCTACCAAAAGGCAGAGTGGGTCTGGAGGGCCTTTCGGGGCACAGGCAGCAAGTGGATTCTGCGAGCCAGGGTTCACCCCCTTGCCTAGTAGGCGGCGCGGCGCTCCGGAATCGGGGACACCCTGCCCTCGATCCGACTCGGGAAAGCAGATCCAGGCGGGTCTTGCCCTCCGGGAGCTGTCCGTCCGTCTTCGCTCACGGGCAGTGTTTCGAGGACCGGAGGCTCTCCGTGGGCCCCCACCCCCACTCCTGGCCGCCCTCCAGGACGCTGAACTTTCCCTTGGCCCCATGGTTGGTGGAGGGGCAGAGGGGACTGTCAGCCCCCCCTCCTCCAGCTCAGGTTTCCGCTTGGAGACAGTCTGTGCCGCCAGCGAGCGGCCACCACTGCCACCGCCCCTCACACTACCTTCCTGCCCTCCTCCCCTGGGCATGGCTCTCCCAGGCAGAACCCCTGGACGGCCCTCCCTGCACGGAGGTTAGAGGGGGAGGGCAGGCCACGACGTAGATAGAGAAGGCCACCCCTAGATGACCGGGATGTCCTTTCTGGAACAGCACTTCTTGGTCCTGTTGGGGGCCTCCTGGAGCTGGCTGACAGAACCCCCAGAGGGGAGGGAAGAGGACAGTGGCTGATGATAATAATGCACGTGTTAATTTATGAAACCAGCACTGTCAAGGATATTGTTAACATGTGATGTTGATTTTCACAACACTCTCACAGATAGGTAGGCAAGGCAGGCAACATCACCCCCATCTCACAGAGGACACTCAGGTTCGGGGCAGGGAAGTGACTTGGCCAAGGTCACACAAATCTGAGCTCTTAAGGCCAAGCCTGTCTCAAGGTCACAGAAGAATTTTGAGACAAGTTCTCAAACATTTCTCTGCCTTATGGACCCAAACATCCAGTTTCTCCTTTATGCCCAGGTTGCAGTTCAGCTCCTGTTTACATTGAGATCTTTGTGCAATTCCTAATATGGCCCAGTTTCCCTCACCCAACATGTTGGGTGGAGCCCAGTATCTTCAGGCTCCAGCTGGGCCCGGGCCCCTAGCGGAAGGAAAAAAATCATGGTTCCATGTGACATGCTGTGTCTTTGTGTCTGCCTGTTCAGGATGGGGAACCCCCTCAGCAGCGAGTGACTGGGACCCTGGTCCTTGCTGTGTTCTCTGCGGTGCTTGGCTCCCTGCAGTTTGGGTACAACATTGGGGTCATCAATGCCCCTCAGAAGGTGAGGGCCTGCAGCTGGCAGGGTGGGGGTACCCAAACGAGGAGGACAGGTGTCTCGGGGGTGGTGGAAAGGGGACGGTCTGCAGGAAATCTGTCCTCTGCTGTCCCCCAGGTGATTGAACAGAGCTACAATGAGACGTGGCTGGGGAGGCAGGGGCCTGAGGGACCCAGCTCCATCCCTCCAGGCACCCTCACCACCCTCTGGGCCCTCTCCGTGGCCATCTTTTCCGTGGGCGGCATGATTTCCTCCTTCCTCATTGGTATCATCTCTCAGTGGCTTGGAAGGTTCGCAGCTGGAGGGCAGGGGTGGGGGAAACAGGAAGGGAGCCACTGCTGGGTGCCCTCACCCTCACAGCCTCACTCTGTCTGCCTGCCAGGAAAAGGGCCATGCTGGTCAACAATGTCCTGGCGGTGCTGGGGGGCAGCCTCATGGGCCTGGCCAATGCTGCTGCCTCCTATGAAATGCTCATCCTTGGACGATTCCTCATTGGCGCCTACTCAGGTACTCACGGGCACCACAGCCCTGCCTAGCGCCCTGTTCTCTTTCACCATGCCTGGGCTTTCAGATGGGAATGGACACCTGCCCTCAGCCCTCTCTTCTTCCCTCGCCCAGGGCTGACATCAGGGCTGGTGCCCATGTACGTGGGGGAGATTGCTCCCACTCACCTGCGGGGCGCCCTGGGGACGCTCAACCAACTGGCCATTGTTATCGGCATTCTGATCGCCCAGGTGACCGGAGCAAGCCTCATGGGTGCCTGGGCAGTGGTTAGAGTGGGGCTCTGGAGAATATGGTGGGCTTCCAAGGTAAGGCAGAAGGGCTGAGTGACCTGCCTTCTTTCCCAACCTTCTCCCACAGGTGCTGGGCTTGGAGTCCCTCCTGGGCACTGCCAGCCTGTGGCCACTGCTCCTGGGCCTCACAGTGCTACCTGCCCTCCTGCAGCTGGTCCTGCTGCCCTTCTGTCCCGAGAGCCCCCGCTACCTCTACATCATCCAGAATCTCGAGGGGCCTGCCAGAAAGAGTAAGCTCTCCCGCTGCAGCCTGGCCCAGGCCCATGCCTCCGCCTCATCTTGCTAGCACCTGGCTTCCTCTCAGGTCCCCTCAGGCCTGACCTTCCCTTCTCCAGGTCTGAAGCGCCTGACAGGCTGGGCCGATGTTTCTGGAGTGCTGGCTGAGCTGAAGGATGAGAAGCGGAAGCTGGAGCGTGAGCGGCCACTGTCCCTGCTCCAGCTCCTGGGCAGCCGTACCCACCGGCAGCCCCTGATCATTGCGGTCGTGCTGCAGCTGAGCCAGCAGCTCTCTGGCATCAATGCTGTATGTGTGGAGCAGCCTCCAGGCAGGGCACAGCCCCGGGAGGGTAGACGAGAGTGGGGAGCAAACCCCCTCCACCAACACCCAGGGTAGGGCCAGCCTGTTGTGGCTGGAGTAGAGGAAGGGGCATTCCTGCCATCACTTCTTCTTCTCCCCCACCTCTAGGTTTTCTATTATTCGACCAGCATCTTCGAGACAGCAGGGGTAGGCCAGCCTGCCTATGCCACCATAGGAGCTGGTGTGGTCAACACAGTCTTCACCTTGGTCTCGGTAACTGCTCACCTCTGGAATGGCCCGAGCCACTGGCTTCACCTCCCTGGGTGTCCCGGAGGTCCTGCTCTTGGTTGCCCTCACCCACGCGGCCCCTCCTACTTCCCGTGCCCAAAAGGCTGGGGTCAAGCTCCGACTCTCCCCGCAGGTGTTGTTGGTGGAGCGGGCGGGGCGCCGGACGCTCCATCTCCTGGGCCTGGCGGGCATGTGTGGCTGTGCCATCCTGATGACTGTGGCTCTGCTCCTGCTGGTAAGGCCTGGAGGCTAGGAGGGGCTAGCAGCCCACCCCATGGGAATGGTCCTGTGAGTCTCTGTGACCAGCCAGGGTCCCTTCTTAACACACATGCTTTCAATCCTGGCGCCAGCTCCGGACCAGGACTGGGGCTGACTGGCTCCAGAATCTGCTGGGATTGTGGTCTGCTCCTGAGGGATTTGGGCTGCACTGGGAGGCAGCTGTGGCACAACTCTGGCAGCCAGGAGGGAGAGCCCCTGTCAAGCCTCAGGAACAATCATTCCTAAGGACCCAGCTTTAGAGTCCAGGGAGAGCTGACCGTCATAAGAACTGAGAGGCCATAACATTTCCTCTGCCTTGAACCCACTTGGGATAGCCAGCAGAATGCCAGTCAAGGGCCTGCTCTAACCCGGGACAGCAGGCCCCCTACAAGCTGCTGCGGAGGGGGTTAGGTTTCACTTCTCTGAGTTGAGGGCAAGGGAAGATCAGAAAGGCCTCAACTGGATTCTCCACCCTCCCTGTCTGGCCCCTAGGAGCGAGTTCCAGCCATGAGCTACGTCTCCATTGTGGCCATCTTTGGCTTCGTGGCATTTTTTGAGATTGGCCCTGGCCCCATTCCTTGGTTCATCGTGGCCGAGCTCTTCAGCCAGGGACCCCGCCCGGCAGCCATGGCTGTGGCTGGTTTCTCCAACTGGACGAGCAACTTCATCATTGGCATGGGTTTCCAGTATGTTGCGGTAGGTCCCCCCGCCCCAGCCTCCCACACCGTAGGCCAGAGGTGGGCATCACACAGCTAGCCCACCTGCTTCCCCGTCAGGGACTCCTCCAGCCACAGACCATGGGTCTTTGGGTCAGTTTGGTGGACCACCTGCTCCACAGAATCAAAGCAAGGAAGGGAGCTGACCTAGATTGGATAGTAACTGAGGTGTCTGAAACGCACCAGTGGCATAACTTACCTTACTCCAAGAATAAAATGATACACTTTGCATTAATACTACAAACAGCTGGGACTCTCCTCTGAGTGCAGTAACTGAGGATGGTGAAGAGGGCGAAAACTAAGAGTGTTTGGGGTTCAGAGAATCCTCTTTTCAGTGTAAATTCTCATTCCTGCTCATTTCCCTTGTCCCTGGAGGAGGCAGCTGCTGTCTGCCGTCCCCCCAGCTCCCTATGAAGGCCTTTAGCTCCTGGTTGCCTGAAACTACCCCTTCCCTCCCCACCTCACTCCGTCAACACCTCTTTCTCCACCTGTCCCAGGAGGCTATGGGGCCCTACGTCTTCCTTCTATTTGCGGTCCTCCTGCTGGGCTTCTTCATCTTCACCTTCTTAAGAGTACCTGAAACTCGAGGCCGGACGTTTGACCAGATCTCAGCTGCCTTCCACCGGACACCCTCTCTTTTAGAGCAGGAGGTGAAACCCAGCACAGAACTTGAGTATTTAGGGCCAGATGAGAACGACTGAGGGGCCAGGCAGGGGTGGGAGAGCCAGCTCTCTCTACCCGGCCCAGAGACCCCTTCCTTTCCTCTGCAGCACTTTAACCCTCTCTTCCCTATTATTTCCGGGTGGAAAAGAATCCCTGCAGCCTGGTAGAATTGGGAAGCTGGGGGAAGGGTGGTCTGAGCACCCCCTCATTCCCCTCGTGTGACTCTCTTGGATTATTTATGTGTTGTGGTTTGGCCGTGGCCATCAGGGTGGGCCACTCTCCCCTCCCTCTTCCTTCCCCCATCCCCTTTCCTCCCCACCTTCCCCAGACTCAGCTCCAGAATACCTTCTTCGCTGCTAGAGAAGGGGGATTGGAGGGAAGACAGGTCTAGACTTTCTCAGTGGGACAAACCAGAGCAGAGAGCAGGACAGGAGACAAGAAATCCAGTTTCCCACCACCTTGGACTCCTCCCACAATCTGGGACTTTCACTGAATTCTTGCCACGCAGACTCTGGGCAAAGGGGTTTTTTTTTTTTTTTTTTTTTTTTTTTTTGAGACAGTCTCGCTCTGTCGCCCAGGCTCGAGTGCAGTGGCGTGATCTTGCTTCACTGCAAGCTGTCTCCCAGGTTCACGCCATTCTCCTGCCTCAGCCTCCGGAGTAGCTGGGACTACAGGCGCATGCCACCACACCTGGCTAATTTATTTTGTATTTTTAGTATATACGCGGTTTCACCATGTTAGCCAGAATGGTCTCGATCTCCTGACCTCGTGATCTGCCTGCCTCAGCCTCCCAAAGTGCTGGGATTACAGGCGTGAGCCACCGCGCCTGGCGAAGGGAGTTCTCTCTTGACCCCTGCAGGGAAAAGGACTCACCTCCCTCACTGCAGGCTCAGCCTTCCAGGGCAAGAGGGAACAGGAAAGTATGTGCCCATGTGTGGCAAGATGGAAGGACGGCAGGCTCCCGCCTCTAGGCTTGGGGCTCTACCCCGATGGTTTCCCAAGGCTGCCAAGAAGGAGCCCTAACTTTCTTCCTCTCCCTTCCTGGAAGGGTGCTGCATCCACAGGCTTTTGACCAACTAAGGCAAAGAGGGGATTTGAAAGGCTGCCTGGAAACACTGGGCTGGGAGGAGCCTTTGGATATTTTTATATACGTTTGAAAAGGGGATTGAGAGAAGAAACCAAAGGTCGGTTGTACTAAATGTATATATATAGATACTTCTATAAAGTCACTGCTGAAGACAAGCATCCTATTGTGGAGGTACTTGAGGATGGGCTGAGACAGGGACCATAACTCTTCACCCCTCTTCCTCCCTCTGTCCTGCCTCAGCTCAAGGCCTCAGAATCTTCTGGATGCCATTGCTCATGCCCCTACTCACATTTCTACTCGTTGCTTTATTAATAGTAAATGCTCAATAAATTGTAGCTGCCAGTGCCGGGCATTGCTCTTGGCATTTGCAGAATACTCACTCTGTGAGGGAGGTGTCAGCCCATGTCACAGATGGGCAGTGAAACCCATGATAGGGGCACTCTTCACCAGGGACACAGCTGGAGACATGGCAGCAAGGATGCCAGGCCCTGCCCACGGCCCCACATCCCCTCCTCCCCACCTTCAACAGTGAGTTACTAGCGATTCTCCAAAACAGAAGAGATGGAGACCAAGACCACAGGAAAGCCTGTTTTTGTTTTTACTGGAGGCTCAGGTGGCACATGACAGATCATAAAATGGCTTCAGAGGTAGGGGGCCGGGGGAAAACAAAAATAAACTTGGGGTGGGGGCAAGAAAAGCAACCAGGAGGAGGTAAGAGCTGGCTGGTTCCTTCTCAGCCTGAGTTACGGGAGGGAGTTGCTGTCTCTGAACAGTAAGGATGGCTCCCTTCCTTCAACCCTTGATAAGGGGAGGGAAGAAAAAAGAAAAAGCAAAAGGCTGCTGCTTTGGTCCTCCTGAGTCTCAAGGAAAAGGTGAAAAGCTGGTGTTTTGATGTCATGAATTATGGGAAAGGGGGAGCAGGGTACTGGGTAGGGTACAGGTCATTTGGAAAAACTGGCAGATACCTGAGAGAGAAAAGGAAATGGACGGATTGTGAACAACAGCGACTTGTCATCGCCACCCAGTACCTCACCTTCCTGGCCACCCACCCAACTGCACCAGCCACTCACCAGATGGCAGCTCTGGGTGTCCTCTGAGTTGAGTTGGAATCACTCCAGGATGGTGGTGGTGGGGTCCCCACTGTTGACAGGGGCTGAGGTCTAAAGAACAGCGGTGGCCAATTGAGACTTGTTCTTTTTGTTTTTGAGACAGAGTCTCACTCCAGGTTGGATGGAGTACAGTGGCGTGATCTTGGCTCACTGCAAACTCCCCCTCCCAGTTCAAGTGATTCTCCTGCCTTAGCCTCCCAAGTAGCTGGGATTACAGGCATGTGCTACCACGCCTGGCTAATTTTTGTATCTTTAGTAGAGACGGGGTTTCTCCATGTTGGTCAGGCTGGTCTTGAACTCCTGACCCCAACTGATCTGCCTGCTTCTGCCTCCCAAAGTGCTGGGATTACAGGCATGAGACATCGCGCAGGGCTGAGACTTGTTCTTCAGGGCCCTGAACTTCAACCTTCTTTCACTTTTTCCCTTCCCATTAAAACCTCAATCACACCCCTCAGTTCACATCTACAAGCTGGTAGGATGGCTCCAGGCAGCAAGTGGGGGATGGGTTGGGGGGGGCATGGCCATCATGGGCAATCATGGGCTTGATTGCCTCTGTGGGGGCTTCCTGGTGGGAGGCGGCACCTGCCAGGGGGGGACCCAGCAGGCTGCATGGAAGAGGGTGGTGGCAGGGCCAGGGCAGGGGAGGGGAGGAGCCAAAGGATAGAGTAGGAAAGAAAAAGGAGCAGGTGGGGGAGGGAGCTGGTCTCAGCCTTTTCTTTCATCCCACATCTGAGGTCCTCACCTCAGGGGCTGCGGGCTGCCGGGGGCCAGGGGCCTGCTGGGGGCCAGGGGCCTGCTGCCGTCTCCGCTGGAAGTAGGGGCGGTTTCGTGGGCGCTGGGGCTCAGGCCGGGAACCATCAGCGGGACCTTGGCTGGGCTTGGTCTCACCATCCCCACCTTCTGTGGTAGGCTGCTGGCGTGGCCTGGGGCGGAAAGGCCTAAGGCAAGGAACAAGGCTCTGAGGGGACCAGGGAATACTCCCTCCCCAGGGCTCACCCAGCTGCCCCACCCCACCTCCAGGAGCCAGGCTTCCAGCCCATGAGCACTGCCTCCCCGCAAGGCACCTGTCTCGCCAGGAGCCCAGGCTCTGCCTAGAGCTTCACCCTTCCATCCTCCTGTCCCTTGCCCCAAGGATCCAACACTGGAAGGGGAAGACCAAGCCCCAGCAGGGGGGTCTTACCTTCGGTACCTGGGCCGGAATCTGGGCGGGGGGACTCGCTCATCTCCCTGCTGTTGGTGCCCCTCCAATGGGGCTGTCTCTTTGGGTTCTACCCTGTCAGTGCCCTGGGAACATGCAAAGGCCCCGGTGAGCTGTGGGGACAGCAGCTGCTCTGGAGCCAGATTATCCACAGCTCTGCCCAACCCTCAGTTCCTCCTTCTTTGGGGACCCATGGTCTCTATCCTAACTCCCACTCCTCTCCTGAACTTGGGGAACTGGCTCCCATATTCCAGCATCCCCTCACCTCTATAGGCTGCTGCTGGTTGGGAGGCCGGGGGCCTCGCACAAACCGCCGTCGGTAGAAGAAGGGTGGGGGGCACCATCGTCGGGGCCGTTGCCCAGAGTCTTCAGCCCGCTCCCCTTTACTGCCAGGTCCTGTCCCCGCCGAGGGGATCTCTGCCACCATGGGTGGTGGGGCAACTGAGGGAGGCCGGGGGATGAATCGGCGGGACTTACGTCGGTTGGGGGCATAACGGCTGCCCTTCACGGGTACTCCCCCAGGCCCAGTTACATTAGTGGCTTCTGCGCCCTGGGAAGGTGGTAAGGGAATAGTGAGAACCTGCTCCAACAGCCAATGTGCATTTCCCAACTTGCTTCCCCTTCTTTCAGGGGAAGACCCCTCTCCAGCTTTCCTTTAGCTCCTCTAACTTCTTTCTACCCTCCCTGGAGAGGCAGTGGAATGTGCTTGCACCCATTTGGGAAGGAGCAACATGTCCTTTTGAAATAATTGCTACTGCACCCTCCTGAGTATACGACTGGGTGGAGAAAGGCCTGGCAGCCAGCATCCACCTTTTTACTCCAGAGGCGGACTCGGGAAGTCTAGGACAGGGCCCCACGTGGAGAACGGATGTCGAAGTGCTTGGTGAACTAGAGAAGAAACCCAGACACTGCCGACCGATGACAGGGACATACTTAGGACATCCCTTAGCCCTAGCATTAAGGAAGAGGACATCAGGGTGAGAGAACACAGTCCCATTCCCGCAGAACGGGTCAGAGCTGGCCCCAGGAGGGTCTTAGCCTGTGATGACCTCCAGGCCACCCTCCCGTAAGCCTAGTCAACTCTATACCCCATAGCAGTCCCCAAACCTTCTCTCCTTCCACGACATCAAATTCCACAGTCTCCCCATCTCCAACGCTGCGCAGAAACTTCCTGGGGTTGTTTCTTTTAATAGCTGTCTGATTGGGGAAAAGGCCATGTGAAAAGTGAGACAGCAAGACAGGAGTCTCTGTCACCCCTGCTGGGGCCACCACCCAATTTCATTCTTTCAACATTTGACTTGGGGTCTAGAGCTGGAGGGTGGAGCAAGGAGGTGGTCAAAGTTTAGCAGGGGAAAAGTCCTGAACTCAGGGCCTCAGCAGATTGTGCAGTTACCACCATCCCCAGGATGCACTCCCCGCACCTCCCCTCCCGCCCCGCTTTACCCCTCAGGGATTTCAGAAAGGGAGGCAAGAAATATGAACTCCAAAGCAAAAGGCAGGGACAGCCTTCAGTCGCAAAGTGGGTAGAATGCACTGTGCTTCTTACCTCAGTCCCAGTGAGAGCTCTTTCCACCAAGCAGTGGTTCTCAAGCTGTAGCGTGCATCAGAATCACCTGGAGAGCTCGTTAAACCGATTGTGGAGCCCCAGCCCCAGCTCTGATTGATTCACCAGGTCTGGGGTGGGACCTGAGAATTCGGATGTCAGGTGATGCTGCTGCCGCTGGTGCAGGGGCCACGCTTTGAGAACCACTGCACCCAAGGACCTTCTCCCTCTGAAAACTGCCTCAGTGCTTCCTGGAGTGTTAACAGGTCCCGGTGGGTAGTAAGCGTGCCATGCCCAGGGGTAACATGCTCAATTCTGACGGACGTTTAGTAACCCAGCACAAGTGCGGCTAATGGTGGTTGACACAGGCACCCAAGGCGGATGGGCCGTTGTGAAGAAGAGCCAGAGAAACATGGCGGAGCGCACTGCTAAGGATTACAGCAAAGGCCTTCAAAGACGGCCGGTTCTTCCCCTCAGAAAGCTAACCTAGCTCTTACCTGGTGAACAAAGACATCTTCCTTGGTGTCATTCCTGCAGAACAGGATGGGTCGTTAAGGAAGGGACTTCAACAAAGCCCTCAGCTCCTCACTGAGGTCCCCCTAGATGCCCAGTCTAAGCTCAGTGGGCCCATCCTCTCCAGCATTCCAGTTAGGGGTGGACATGGCCTGGGGAATGGGAGGGAGAGCCAGCAGGGCCCCCAGAAGCTGGTGTAAAGAGAGATACACCTAAAACCTCAGTGCCAAACCTGGACTTCACAAGGAAAGGGCAGGCTGGGGAGGCAAAGGCACCTTGAGGAACCTCAGACAGCTCTGCCCCTGCCGGGACTCCACCTTCCACCCCAGGCTAGCCTTACAACCTGCCAGCGCTGGGTGCAACTGTCCCTGGCCAACACCCCCTCCCCCAACCCCCATCAGGGTTGGAAAATTCCAGTCTTCTTCCTTCTATAGTCAAGGAGGCAGAAAGTGCAGATGGGGCCAGAGGGGCAGAACAAGTTTGAGAAGGGAACAATGTGTCAGGAACTTGCTCTAAACAGCTGCCAAACTTTATTCTCATCCTCAGCCTGGAGGTGAATCCCAGAGTCAGGACCACTCTCAACACGCGTGGGACCAAGGGTGAGAGAGAAGAAAACATTCACCCATTCTCTATCATAAGAACCCCAGTGGGTGGGGGGAGGGGAGAAAGGAAAAGTTTTCCTGGAGGCACTCTGCCCCCGACCCAGTCTGCCATTTCCAGAATTAGACAGGGACCCTTCCCCAGAACAAACGTTTTAGCTTTAAAGCACTTGGATCTGCACAAAGGTCAGCCTGCTAAGAGGGAACTAGGGCCTCCCAGGAGAGCCAGGCCGGGCAGGATGCCTGGGCTGGGGAAGGGCCCACTGGGGGAGACCTGGCTCTGCTCAGAATCCACTGCCACAGCCTCTCCCGGTGCTGAGGGGTGGGGCTGCCTACTGAAGGAAAGCAGCAGCCTCTGGCTCCTTCCTCCTGACCCCCACTGTCAGCCTCAGTCCCAACAGGTGGAGGGCTCGAATGAGCCACAGCTCTTTAAGGGAGTTGAGTTGTGAGTGCTGCCATAACAGGAAATCAGTTGAGGATTCCAGCCGGGGGCCCTGAGGCACAGAGAACCCTATAATACATTCTGCCCCAAAGGCATGTCAGAGTAAAAGTAATGAAGCAATTCCAGAAGGTGAGATGAGAAGCTGGCAGGGTCAGAGCCAGGTTTGCCAAGTTCCTGAATCATTAATCCTCCGCTACCCTTGAAGATGCGGAGGAGGCTTCCTCTTGTCACGAAGCACACATTTGTGCTGCGGTTAAAGGCTTTCAACCAGCATCAGCTGGACATTGCAACCATGTGCCTCCGCAGGGGTCGATGAGGTTGGGCGGGTGTCCAGTCCCACAGGCCAGCTGGGAAGACACCCATTCCACCCCCGCCCTGGGTTCCTTGGATACCTGTTGATGAATCCGTAACCATTCCGGACGTTGAACCATTTGACAGTGCCCAGGACTTGGATTGCTGCCAGGCAGAGATGCAGTGGGGACAGTGAGATGGGGGGAAGAGATGGAGTTGAACTCAGTTTTGAGACACTCCAAAACAAAAAAAAATCTAGCCTACTGCCTTATTACCTATTCAGGTTACCTTCAAGCCAACCAGGTTTCACTAGTAGCTTCAAGGTATTCCTACCCTAGTCCACCAAATGAAATCACCCACACAGGGACTCAGGCTTTCAAAAAGCCTTCCAACTCTAAGTCACGTTCCCCACATCCTACAAATCCAGCCCCTTCACCTAGAACTGGGTACTCACCTGGTCTGCAAAGTGCCGCCCCCAGGTCATAACTGAGGGTTTTTCTAGCCCTCCCAATGCAAGGGTCCCCAGTGCACCTGCTTGCCAGGCTCAGAGGTTTGCCTAGTTCTAACCCAGTCAACTAGGCACTGTGTCCCGCCCGGGGGCGTGGCCGGACCCTGGGGCTTTATTCTCCACCCCAAGACCTTAGCTGAACCTGCCGGCCCCGCCCTCTCTCCCAGGAAGGTACGGCAGGATTTCCCACCAGGGGAATCCACTTTGGTGCGCAGCTCCCAGCCCAGTTAGCGCTCTGGGCCTGCGGGCCAGGCCGCCTTTGGTTTTCCGGATCCTGCCGGGCTCCACACTGCCCCTCCCCCAGCCCGCCGACCCCTCAGAGCCGCCCTGTGCGCGCCTGCCCCTCACCCAGCACCGGCTTGTCCGCCTGACTCCGGGCCGGGGGGGCGGGGGTTCCCGAGACCGCCGTCGCCGGATTGCCAGGGGTGCGGGAGCCCGGCGCCGAGGGGGTCCCAGCAGCGGGGCCCGAGGCGGCTCCGCCCCCGCCGCCCGCCCCGCCGCCTTTCTGCGGCTCCCCTGCGGGCACCGGTACCACCACCGCTACCACCCCTGCCGCCGTCGCGGGCACCGTCGCCGCGGGGACCGCTGTAGCCCCCGCTGCCGCCTCCACCTCGCTCATCCCGCCGGGTCCAGTACCGGCCACAGCCGCCACCGCCCCGGCCCCTCCCCCCGGCTCGCGAACCCACCGCCCTGCTCGGTCCTCGCGCCCCGAGCCTCGCCCACACGCCGGCAGCGGGCCCGGAGCCGAGGCCAATGGCAGCCCGCTGCCGCCGCTCGCGCAGACCCCGCCTCCCGACCACGGGCCAATCCCAGCCCAGCAGCACCCCCGGACCGCACGCCGACCCCGCCTCCCGGACTTCGCACCGCGGCCCCGGCCCCCGCCAGCCGCCCAGTAAGTACACCTGGGCCCCGCCCCCTGGCCGCCACGTGACGGCCCCCGGCCCAACCCATTGGCCGGCGGCCCCTTTCCCCTCCCCCCTCCGCCCCTTTCCACCGGCCGCGGGAAATCAAACGGGCCGGTCGCGCCCCAACCGCCACCTGGCCTCTGCGGGAAGGGCGGGGCCGGGGCCGCAGTGCCAAGGTTGCCCCTAACGACCTGAGCGAGGGGCGGGAATCTGCAGCCTCGGTTCTGGCAGTGAGTAGCACCGCTCGCCTCCACCCTCGAGACCGACCTTGCCCGTATGCTGCCAGGTGCAGACGCCTTCCGGCCACCACCGCCCTTGGCACCCTCTCCCCACAGGACGGCCCTGCACACCCTGGGGCTGCGGGATCCAACCGCAGGATAGGCTGGAAAGCGCAGCAGAATGGTTTTCCCGGCTCACACTTGCTCCCATGAGCCAGGACCCCCTACTTTTCTTTTTTCTTTCTTTTTCTTTTCTTTTCTTTTTTTTTTTTTTTTTGAGACAGGGTCTCGCCCTGTCGCCCAGACTAGAGTGCAGTGGCGCGATCTCGGCTCGCTACAACCTCCGCCTCCCTGGTTCAAGCGATTCTCCTGCCTTGAGCCACCTCAAGGTGGCTCCCGGCCTGCCCCTACCTATGTTTGTATTGGAAACAAGGTTTACAAGTAGTACAATGCGCAATTCTTCTTCGCTGAGTTTGTTTGTTTGTTTGTTTTGACACAAGGTCTCCCTCTGTCGCCCGGGCTGGAGCGCAGTGCGCGATCTGGGCTCACTGCAGCCTCTGCCTCCCGGGTTCAAGCGATTCTCCCTCCTCAGCCTCCTGAGTACCTGGAATTACAGGCTTGCGCCACCACAACCTGGCTAATTTCTGTATTTTTAGTAGAGATGGGGTTTCACCATATTGGCCAGGCTGGTCTCGAACTCCTGACCTCTGGTGATCCGCCCGCCTCAGCCTCCCAAAGTGTTGGGATGACAGGGTAAGCCACCGTGCCCGGCCTTCGCTGAGTTTTGATCAATGTGTCCACCCATGTGGCCCATACCGACCGCTGCAGCTCTGATGTCTACCGCCCTAGACTGGCTTTGGGGTCTCTCACGTCTGTATGCCGGGGGCTGTGGTCTCCGGCCAGGCGTCAAGCTCCAGCGGACTCGAGGCCTTTTGCACATGCGGTTTCCTCTGCCGAAAACGCGCCTTCGTGTCTCCAGGTGGCTCTCTCCAAGCAGCAGCTTACGTGCCACTCTTCGCCATCACACCATTCCTTATTTTTCTAATGGCATTTTTGAAAATATGACATGATCCTGACCATTTGCTTATTTTATTTCCCTGCACACAGTGGGCTGTAAACTCCACAGCAGTAAGAGCCTTGTAGTTAAGCTGGACGCCTGCAGCAGTGCCTGGTACAACGTACACGTTCAATATTTATCGAATACATGAACGGCCCCCATTCCACAGATGAGAGGACTGAGGGGCAGTGCGAGGCTTGTACCAGGTTTCTCGGGAGCCTGGGAAGATTAAGAAAATGGGCCGGGCGCGGTGGCTCACGCCTGTAATCCCAGAAAAACGAGGCTCCAGCAGTATCTCCTCCCTAGGGCCGCCTCCCCCACCAGGGAGGACGCGGGTGCGCGTTGTATTTTTAGCCAGGGCAGCGCGCCCCGGGGCAGCACACGTGCCCCCAGGCGCTGCTGGGCAAGCCCCACGTGCGCTTCCCAAGGGCTGGCGTCCTCCGCGTCTCCTTCGCCGCCAGCTGCCCGCAGCAGCCGCAGTCGCCTCTCCCGGTCCCGGCGCGCCCTCTGCCGGCCGCTCCCGGAGGCCGCCGGATTCCGCTTCCTCGCTGACCCTCCACTTGCTATCTATCGCCCGCCGCACCCCTCCGGCCCTTTCAGAGTTGAAGATTCGGATTTCCGGGGCATCGGGCACAGTGGACAGAAAAAGAGAAGAGACAAGAAAACAACTAAGTAGCAAGACGAGGCCGTGAAGCATACAAGAATGACCACTGGCCTTAGACTGTTAAGGACCGACTTACCCGTGCCTAGCCCTGAGCTCAAGAAATTGGAGAAGCCTAAGACCAAGACTGGGGAAGGCAGGCAAGAAACCTCACAGTGTGACCGCTGCAGCAAAAGAATCACATGGAAGGCGGAGCTCAGGAGTGGGCCCGTTAGCTACAGGCTGGAGGGTGAGAAGAGAGGACCTAGGAAGGGAAGCTGAACCTTTTTGTAGTAAGATTAAGAAAATGGCCAGATGTGGTGGCTCACACCTGTAATCCCAGCATTTTGGGAGGCTGAGGTGGGTGGATCACCTGAGGTCAGGAGTTCGGGACCAGCCTGGCTAACATGGTGAAACCCCATTTCTACTAAAAATACAAAAAATTAGCCGGGCGTGGTGGCGTGTACCTGTAATCCCAGCTGCCTGGGAGGCTGAAGCAGGAGAATCGCTTGAACCCAGAAGGCTGAGGCTGCAGTGAGCCAAGATCATGCCATTGCACTCCAGTTTGGGCAACAGGAGCGAAACTCCGCCTCAAAAAAAAAAAAAAAAAAAGAAAGAAAGAAAGAAAAAGAAAATGGGGCGGGCGCGGTGGTTCACTCCTGTAATCCCAGCACTTTGGGATGAGGAGGCCGGTGGGTCACCTGTGGTCAGGACTTCGAGACCAGCCTGGCTAATATGGTGAAACTGCATCTCTACTACAAAATACAGAAAATTGGCCGGGTGCGGTGGCTCACGCCTGTAATCCCAGCACTTTGGGAGGCCGAGACGGGCGGATCACGATGTCAGGAGATCGAGACCATCCTGACACGGTGAAAACCCGTCTTTATTAAAAAAATATATATATATATACAAAAAATTAGCCGGGTGTTGTGGCGGGCGCCTGTAGTCCCAGCTACTGGGGAGGCTGAGGCAGGAGAATGGCGTGAACCCGGGAGGCGGAGCTTGCAGTGAGCCGAGATAGCGCCACTGCACTCTAGCCTAGGCGACAGAGCCAGATGCCCTCTCAAAAAAAAAAAAAAAAATTAGCCCGGCATGGTGGTGCGCGCCTGTAATCCCAGCTACTCAGGAGGCTGAGGCAGGAGAATCGCTTGAACCCGGGAGGCAAAGGTTGCAGTGATTTCAGTGATCTGAGATTGCGCCACTGCACTTCAGCCTGGGCAACAGAGTGAGACTCTGCCAAAAAAAAAAAAAAAAAAGTGGCCAGGCGCGGTGGTTCACACCTGTAATCCCAGCAATTTGGGAGGCCGAGGTCAGGAGATCCAGACCATCCTGGCTAACATGGTGAAACCCCGTCTCTACTACAAATACAAAAAATTAGCTGGGCGTGGTGGCAAGTGCCTGGAGTCCCAGCTACTCGGGAGGCTGAGGCAGGAGGATGGCGTGAACCCAGGAGACGGAGCTTGCAGTGAGCTGAGATCGCGCCACTGCACTCCAGCCTGGGCGACGGTGCGAGACTCCGTCTCAAAAAAATAAAAAAGAAAGAAAAGAAAAGAAGAGAAAATGTGAGGATGTGAGGAGACCAGAGGTGGGAGCATTGCAGGGAAATGTACTCCTGGCTGTTGAAACAACAGCTACACTGGCAACAGCTCAACAGCTATGTGCTCTCCATCCCCATGGAGGAGAATTCGCAGATACCACGGAGCGATGCAGCTCATTGTCCTCTTCAGTTGAAGGATTTGTGCATGTAATTTTCTTTTTCTTTTTTTTTTTCTGAGATGGAGTCTTGCCCTGTTGTCCAGGCTGGAATCCAGTGGCGCTATCTCCGCTCACTGCAAGCTCCACCCCCCGGCTTCATGCCATCCTCCTGCCTCAGCCTCCCCAGTAGCTGGGACTACAGGCGCCTGCCACTATGCCTGGCTAATTCTTTTGTATTTTTAGTAGAGACGGGGTTTCACAGTGTTCGCCAGGATGGTCTCGATCTCCTGACCTCGTGATCTGACCGCCTCAGCCTCCCAAAGTGCTGGGATTACAGGCGTGAGCCACTGCGCCCAGCCTTTCTTTTTCTTTTTTGAGACAGGGTCCCACTCTGTCACCCAGGCTGGAGTGCAGTGGCACAATCTCAGCTCACTACAGCCTCCACCTTGAAGGCTCAAGTGATCCTCCCATCTCAACCTCCCACCTGTAGTTAACTGGCCCACTCCTGAGCTGGGACTACAGGCACATGCCACCATGCCCGGATAATTTTTTTGAACTTTTTGTAGAGAGGGGGTTTCACCCTAGTGAACTCCTGGGCTCAAGCCATTGCCCACCTTGGCCTTCCAAAGTGCTGGGATTACAGGTGTGAGCCACCAAGCCTGGCCATAATTTTCTGGTTATTTAAATATTTTTAAGTACTATAGATAACAAGGGCTCCAGGAATTCTAGTGAAAAGGCTTCCTTCTTTTTCTGTCGCTTCCTTTCCATTAGTTCCTGCTCACCTGAAGTGTTCTTTACCTGACTGTTTTGTTCATTACTTAAAAACAAAAACAGGCTGGGTGCAGTGGCTCATGTTTGTAATCTCAGCACTTTGGGAGGCCAAGGCAGGAGAATTGCTTGAGCTCAGGAGTTCAAGACCAGCCTGGGCAACATAATGAGACCCCGTCTTTTCAAAAAATACAAAAATTAACTGAAGATGGTGACATGCACCTGTAGTCCCAGCTACCTGGGAGGCTGAGGTGGGAGGATTGCTTGAGCCTAGGAGGTCAGGGCTGCAGTGAGTGGTGATTGTGCCCCTGCAGTTTAGCCTGAGTGACAGAGTGACACCCTGTCTCAAAAATAGAAATAAAAAACAGGCCGGGCGTGGTGGCTAACGCCTGTAATCCCAGCACTTTGGGAGGCCAAGGTGGGAGGATCACTTGAGGTCAGGAGTTCAAAACCAGCCTGATCAACATGGTGAAACCCCGCCTCTAATAAAAATATAAAAATTTAGCCGGGCATGGTGGCACATGCCTGTAATCCCAGCTACTGGGGATGCTGAGGCAGGAGAATTGCTTGAATCCGGGAGGCGGAGGTTGCAGTGAGCCGAGATCATGCCATTGCATTCCAGCCTGGGCAATAAGAGTGAAATTGCGTCTCAAAAAAGAAAACAAAACAAAACAAAATCCTGCTTTCTCGACTATTGCCCTGTACCTCTCCATTGTTTGAACAACAAATTTCCTGAAACCAGTCTTTGCTGTGTTTACTTCAACTTTCTTTCACAACCCACCAACCCAAATCTGGTTTCTGCCCCATCACTCCACTGCGACAGCTTCAGCAATGCCCCACTGTCCCTTCTCAGTTGAGACGTGCAGTGGATGGCTTTGGTTCCCTTTGGACTCCGTCAAATGAAGTGTTCCTGCCACAGCTTCCACAACCCAACCTTCCCTGTCACCTCACACCTCTCCTGTTATGCTTGTTCTCCTTCTCCAACCCCACTGTTTCCTAGGCCATGTTTTCCTGTCTTCTCTTTTTTTTTGTTTTTTTGAGATACAGTCTCACTCTGTCACCCAGGCTGGAGTGCAGTGGCACGATCTCAGCCCACTGCAACCTCTGCCTCCCGTGTTCAAGTGAATTTCCTGCCTCGGCCTCCTGAGATAGAGTAGCTGGGATTTCAGGCACGCCCAGCTAATTTTTGTATTTTTAGTAGAGATGGAGTTTCACCATGATGGCCAGGCTGGTCTCGAACTCCTGACCTCAAGTGATCACCCACCTCGGCCTCCCAAACTGCCAGGATTATAGATGTGAGCCATCGCACCCAGACAACCCTTCTTTAGATTGTTCTATCCATTTCCCTGGCTTCGGTGACCACTTTCTGATGGCTCTCAAATTTGTGTCTCCACTCCTGAGTCCCTCCCACCTTCTGCCAGATGCCCAAGTCAGGGAGTCTCTCCAGCCAACAGCTCCTCAGGCTTCTGGAATTTGATGCATCCAAGTCTAAGCTTCTCTTTTTCCTCCCTCCGTTCTCCCTCCTCACTGAGTTTACGTCATCACCACTTATCCACAGTCATTTTGCGTAGAACAGTCTCCCTGGAGGCCCAGGATTAGCACAATAAAGGTGAAGATTTGTGTGATCAAACTGAGATAATATTTGAACGATTGAAAAAATGGTGTCAGCTGAGTGCGGTGGCTCATGCCTGTAATCCCAAGACTTTTGGAGGCCAAGGTGGGAGGATCGCTTGAGCCCAAGAGTTTGAGATTAGCCTGGGCAACATAGCAAGACCCTGTCTCTACAAAAACTTAAAAAAAAAAATTAGCCAGATGTGGTGGTGCACCCTAGCTACTCAGGAGGCTGAGTTAGGAGGATCACTTGAGCCTGGGAAGTCCAAGCTGTGGTGGGCCCTCTTCACACCACTGCACTGTAGCCTGGGCAACAGAGCGAGACTCCGTCTCAAAAAAAAAAAAAAAAAAAAGAAAGAAAGAAAGAAACAAAAGAAAAGATGATGTCACCTCTATCCCCTGGTGCCATCTACTCCCAGAAACTTTTCACTCCAACTTTTTTGTTGCAGCCCAAATCAGAGTTTACCTCTTCTCTGTCCTAATAACTACTCTCTTATTTCCCAACAGCAACAGTGTTTCATACCCACACTGTCCATCTTATCCTCTCACATTTATTTATTTATTTATTTATTTATTTATTTATTTATTTATTTATTTATTTTTGAGACGGAGTCTCTCTCTGTCACCCAGGCTGGAGTGCAGTGGCGCGATCTTGGCTCACTGCAAGCTCTGCCTCCCGGGTTCACGCCATTCTCCTGCCTCAGCCTCCCGAGTAGCTGGGACTACAGGCGCCCGCCGCCACCACGCCCAGCTAATTTTTTGTATTTTTAGTAGAGACGGGGTTTCACTGTGTTAGCCAGGATGGTCTTGATCTCCTGACCTCGTGATCCGCCCGCCTCGGCCTCCCAAAGTGCTGGGATTACAGGCGTGAGCCACCGCGCCCGGCTGGCACATTTATTGATTGATTGATTGAGACAGAGTTTTGCTCTTGTTGCCCAGGCTGGAGTGCAGTGGCGCACTTTGGCTCACTGCAACCTCTGCCTCCTGGGTTCAAGTGATTCTCTTGCCTCAGCCTCGCAAGTAGCTGGGATTACAGGTGTGCACCACCATGCCTGGCTAATTTTTGTATCTTTAGTAGAGATGGGGTTTCGCCATGTTGGCCAGGCTGGCTTTAAACTCCTGACCTCAAGTGATCTGCCCACCTCGGCCTCCCAAAATGCTGGGATTACAGGCGTGAGCCACTGCGCTTGGCCACACATTTATTCTTTAGCTGCTCTTTCCACTGTCCTTCCCTCTTTGCAGGCTGGGCTAGCACTCTGTCAAAGCCTTGACATTTTCTCCAGCCTCTACCTCCTTGTCTTATCTGCTGTATGTTTTTGTGTGCATTTTCAATTTCCCTAAATAACATCTTGTTATAGATTTCGTTCTGATCTTATTTGCAGTTAGTACTATGTGGTTAAAATCCACCCATGCTCTATGATGATCAAAGCTATTGCTGCGCCATGCTCTGCAGTATGAGTTGTGCCACATTTTACCTGCTCACAGTTCCACTGAGGAGCACCCATGGCACCTCCAATTCTCAACCACAACAAATAATATGGCACTGAACTTTTTTTTTTCCAGACATGGTCTTGCTCTGTCACCCCAGCTGGGGTGCAGTGGCATGACCAGGGGTCACTCCAGTCTTGACCTCCTGTGCTCAAGTGATCCTCCCACCTCAGCCTCCTCACCTCAAGTGATCCGACTACAGGCTCATGCCACCATGCCTGACTAATTTTTGTATTTTTAGTAGAGACGGGGTTTCACCATGTTGGCCAGGCTGGTCTCAAACTCCTGACCTCAAGCAATCCACCCATCTTGGCTTCCCAAAGTGTTGGGATTATAGGCGTGAACCACCGTGCCCGGCTAATTTTTTAATTATTTTTTTTTTAAGATGGAGTCTTGCTCTGTTGCCCAGGCTGGAGTGCAGTGGCGCAATCTCCGCTCACTACAAGCTCCACCTCCCAGGTTCACGCCATTCTGCTGCCTCAGCCTCCCGAGTAGCTGGGATTACAGGTGCCACCACCACGCCTGGCTAATTTTTTTTGGTATTTTTAGTAGAGATGGGATTTCACCGTGTTGGCTAGGCTGGTCTCGAACTCCTGACCTCATGATCCGCCCGCCTTGGCCTCCCAAAGTGCTGGGATTACAGGCATGAGCCAGTGCGCCCGGCCGCCAGGATGCATCTTAAAAACACATTGCTTAGAGAAAAAGGGTAAGAAACAGGATGAGACATATACAACAGGCTGGGGGCGGTGGCTCACACTTATAATCCCAGCACTTTGGGAGGCCGAGGTGGGATGATTGTTTGCAGCCAGGAGTTTGAAACCCGCCTGGGCAACATAGGGAAACTCCGTCTCAACAAATAATTTAAAAAATTACCCAGGCATGGTGGCACACAGCTGTAGTCCCAGCTACTTGGGAGGGGCTGAGGTGGGAAGATTGCTTGGGCCTGGGAGGTCAAGGCTGCAGTGAGCTATGATCCTGCCACTGCACTCCAGCCTGGGTGACACAGCCAGACCCTGTCTCAAAAAAAAAGCAAAAAAACATATACAATGATATGACATACATAAAAAGAATCATTCCCACAAACAACAAACCATGTCTCTCAGAGTATATCAAAACCAAAAGACGTGCAACATTGTAATTGCTTGTGGAGGAGCAGGGAAGTAAATGGGGTTGGGGGTGTTAAAAAAGCAAAAAATCAAGCAAACGTAGGAATGAATGAAATGTTCTATCCTGCTTAAAACTCTCCAGTGACTTCCCATTGAAAACTCATAGGTGAAGCTCAAGCCCTTTAGCTTAAATCTAAAGGCCCAAGATCTAACCCACTGCCACCCTACCCACCCAGGTCTCAAGCACTGCCTCCTGACCAGTCTTGCTGACATTGCTACATGTGGCTATTTCAGTTTAATTAAAATAAAATTTAAAATTCAGTTCCTAAGTCTCACCAGCCACATTTCAAAAGCTCAATAGCCATATGAGGCTCTTGGATACTGTATTAGCACAAATAGAGAACATTTCTGCCCTCAAAGGTCTAGCAAACAGCACTACTATTCAACCAACTCTATTTTTTATTTTTATTTTTTTTGAGACAGGGTCTCATTCTGTCGCTCAGGCTGGAGTGCAGTGGCACAATCACGGCTCACTGCAGCCCTGACCTTCCCAGGCTCACATGATCCTCCCACCTCAGCCTCTGGAGTAGCTGGGACTACAGGTTTACACCACTACCCCCAGTTAATTTTTCTAGTTTTGGTAGAGACAGGTTTCACCATGTTGCCCAGGCTGGTGTCCAGCTCCCGGGCTCAAGTGATCCACCCACCCTCGCCTCCCAAAGTATTAGGATTATAGGCATGAGCCACCGTGCCTGGCTTCAACCATCTCTGTAAATCTCAGTACTCAGGATACTAAATCTTCTGTTCTAAAAGTTTCAGAAATCGTTTCTTATTTGAATTAATTTCACTGAGATTTCTTGAGTGCTTTCCTCTGACCATCTGGACTGGGAGACAAGTGCACCAGTAACTACCATGATAATCTCAGTGCTGGTTAGCAACTGCGTGGGTCACCTTCTGAAAATATTTCACATAGTTTACAATAAAATATGCATATTCCTTTATTTCTTCAACAAACATTTATTGAGCACCTACTGTGTGCCAGGTGCTAAAACGTGCTAAGGTATCGTAGTGAATTAGACATACAAGATCCCTGTGGCAGGCCGGGTGCAGTGGCTCATGCCTGTAATCCCAGCACTTTGGAAGGCCAAGGCGGGCAGACCATCAGAGGTCAGGAGTTTGAGACCAGCCTGATCTACATGGTGAAACCCTGTCTCTACTAAAAATACAAAAATTAGCTGGGCGTGGTGGTGCACGCCTGTAATCCCAGCTACTCAGGAGGCTGAGGCAGGAGAATCATTTGAACCTGGGAGGCAGAGGTTGCAGTGACCCAAGATTGCACCACTGCACTCCAGCCTGGGTAACAGAGCGAGAGTCCTGTTGCTCAGGCTGGTCTTGAACTTCAGGCCTGAAGCAATCCTCCTGCCTCAGCCTCCAGAATAGCTGAGATTATAGGCATGAGCAACTATGCCTGGCAGTTTTCAATAATATCTGAATTCTAATCATGGTAAGTGGGTGTAGCCACAAGGAAGTAGGAAATAAATGTGTATGTCTTTAAGACAAGCTAGAACCCGATCAATTGTGTTTGAATTTTTTCTTTTCTCTTTCTTTCTTTCTCTTTCTCTCTCTCTTTCTTTCTTTTCTTTTTTTTTTTTTTTTTTGATGAAGTTTCGCTCTTGTTGCCCAGGCTGGAGTGCAATGGTGCGATCTCGGCTCACCGCAACCTCCGCCTACCGGGTTGATTCTCCTGCCTCAGTCTTCCGAGTAGCTGAGATTACAGGCATGTACCACCATGCCCAGCTAATTTTGTATTTTTAGTAGAGACGGGGTTTCTCCATGTTGGCCAGGCTGGTCTCGAACTCCTGACCTCAGATGATCCACCTGCCTCAGCCTCCCAAAGCGCTGGGATTACAGGCATGAGCCACAGCGCCCGGCCCGCCCTCCCTTCCCTCCCTCCCTCCATCGTCCCTCCCTCCCTCCCTTCTTTCTTTCTTTCTTTTTTTTTTTTTAAAGACAGAGTTTCTCTCTTGTTGCCCAGGCTGGAGTGCAATGGCACAAGCTCAGCTCACTGCAACCTCCGCCTCCCGGGTTCAAGCAGTTCTCCTGCCTCAGCCTCCTGAGTAGCTGGGATTACAGGCATGTGCCACCATGCCTGGCTAATTTTTGTATTTTTAGTAGAGACGGGGTTTTGCCATATTGGCCAGGCTGGTCTCAAACTCCCGACCTCAGGTGATCTGCCCACCTCGACCTCCCAAAGTGCTGGGATTACCGGTGTGAGCCACCGTGCCTGGCCGAATCATTTCTCTCTGTTTTGTTTTGTGTGTGTTTTTTTTTTTTTTTTGAGCCTCCCTAGCAGCTGAGATTACAGGCATGCGCCACCACACCTGGCTAATTTTTTTGTTTGTTTGTTTTCTTTTCTTTTTTTTTTTGAGGTGGAGTCTCACTCTGTCGCCCAGGCTGGCCTGAGTGCAGTGGTAGGATCTTGGCTCTCTGCAACCTCTGAAGCCCGAGTTCAAGCAATTCTCCTGCCTCAGCCTCCTGTGTAGCTGGGATTACAGGCACCTGCCACTGCGCCTAGCTAATTTTTGTATTTTTAGTAGAGATGGGGTTTCACCATTTTGGCCAGGCTGGTTTTGAACTCCTGACCTTGTGATCCACCTGCCTCAGCCTCCCAAAGTGCTGGGATTATAGGCGTGAGCCACCTTGCCCGGCCGAATTATTTCTCAAGGAGGAAACTTCTTTTTTTTTTTTTTTTTGAGACAGAGTCGCCCAGGCTGGAGTGCAGTGGTGCGATCTCAGCTCACTGCAACCTCCGCCTCCTGGGTTCAAGTGATTCTCCTGCCTCAGCCTCCTGAGTAGCTGTAACTACTGCCCGAGTAGCTGGAACTACTGGCACATGCCACCACGCCCGGCTAATTTTTTGTATTTTTAGTAGAAATGGGGTTTCACCGTGTTAGCCAGGATGGTCTCGATCTCCTGACCTTGTGATTCGCCCACCTCGGCCTCCCAAAGTGCTGGGTTTACAGGCGTGAGCCACCGCGCCCGGCCCAAGAAGGAAACTTCTATGTGAACAGAAGAGAAATGCTCAATATATAAATTAGAAAGAAGGTCAGGCTAAGTGTGGTGGCTCACGCCTGTAATCCCAGCACTTCGGGAGGCCGAGGAGGGTGCATCACGAGGTCAGGAGTTCAAGATCAGCCTAGCCAAGATGATGAAACCCCGTCTCTACTAAAAATAGACAAATTAGCCAGGCGTGGTGGCAGGTGCCTGTAATCCCAGCTACTCAGGAGGCCGAGGCAGGAGAATCGCTTGAACCCGAGAGGCGGAGGTTGCAGTGAGCTAGATCGTGCCACTGCACTCCAGCTCGAGTGACAGGGCAAGAATCCGTCTCAAAAAAAAAAAAAAGTAATAATGTTGCTTTGAACATTTATGTACAACATTTCTGTTTTTTTCTTTTCTTCTTTTTTTTTTTTTGACAGGGTTTTACTCTGTTACCCAGGCTGGAGTGCAGTGGTGTGATCACAGCTCACTACAGCCTTGAACTCCTAAGCTCAGGCAATCCTCCTGCTTCAGCCTCCCCAGTAGCTGGGACTACATGTACATATGACCACGCCTGGTTAATTTTTGTGTGTGTGTGATGGAGTTTTGCTCTTGTTGCCCAGGCTGGAGCACAACGGCATGATCTCGGCTCATTGCAACCTCTGCTTCAAGCTATTCTCCTGCCTCAGCCTCCTGAGTAGCTGGGATTACAGGCATGCGCCACCACACTAGGCTAATTTTGTATTTTTAGTAGAGATGGGGTTTCTCCATGTTGGTCAGGCTGGTCTCAAACTCCCGACCTCAGGTGATCCACCCGTCTCAGCCTCCCAAAGTGTTGGGATTGCAGGCGTGAGCCACTGCGCCCGGCTATTCTAGATGTTTTCTAAGAGTGGAATCATAGAATATGTGACCTTTTGCATCTTGACTTTTTTCACTTAGCATAATGTTTTCCAATATTCATCCAGTTATAGCACGTACTTCATCTCTTTTTATGGCTAAATAATATTCCACTGTATAGATATACCACATTTTAAAAATCCATTCATCTATTGACAGACATTTGGGTTCTTTCCACCTTTTTTGCTACTGTGAATAACTGCTGCTAATGAACACTCACATGCCCGGATTTGCTTTTTTTTTTTTTTGAGATGGAGTCTTGCTCTGTTGCCCAGGCTGGAGTGCAGTGGCGAGATCTCAGCTCACTGCAAGCTCCACCTCCCAGGTTTGCCATTCTCCTGCCTCAGCCTCCCAAATAGCTGGGATTACAGGCGCCCACAACCAGGCCCGGCTAATTTTTTTATTTTTAGTAGAGGCGGGGTGTCACCGTGTTAGCCAGGATGGTCTCCATCTCCCGACCTCATGAGCCGCCCGCCTCGGCCTCCCAAAGTGCTGGGATTACAGGCGTGAGCCACCGCACCCGGCCCGGATTTTCTTTGAGTACCTGTTTTTAATTCATTGGGAGTATATATACGTTGGAGTGGAATTGCTGGGTCACATGAACAATACATACTTTGCTTTGAGAAAAGCAGGTGTTGGACTTTTGAACAATGTACTCACAAAGTTGTTTGCGTTTTTTTGTTTTTGTTTTTGTTTTTTTTTTTTACAAAGGAAAGGGCATGAATTTCAGAAAATTGAGGGGAAGTAGCTGGGGGTTAGCATAACAGGCTACACAAATGTAGTAATTCAATCTAGTGTTTGCAGTTCACATGTATCGTGTCACAAGACTTTTTTTTTTTCTTTTTTAAGAAACAGGTTCTCTGTTGCCCAGGCTCAAGTGCAGTGGTGGGGATTATAGCTCAATGAAGCCTCGAACTCCTAGACTCAAGCTATCCCTCCACCTCAGCCTCCCAAGAAAGAGTAGCTAGGTCTACAGGCACCAGCCACTGAGCTGAGCTTTTCTTGTTTTTGTTTTTTTAATTTTTTATTTGTAGAGATGGGCCGTTGTTATGTTGCCCAGTCTGGTCTGTAACTGCTAGCCTCACGGGAGCCTCCCACCTTGACCTCCCAAAAAGCTAAGACTACAGGTATGAGCCACTATGCCCAACCCATGTTGCAGAATTTTTGCAACGTCCTGAAAAATTGGGAAGTTCAGGCATCATTATTATTCTCATTTTATGGGAAGAAAATTAAGGCAGAGCTATCTGAAGTAATTCCTTAAAGACACAAAAGAAGGATGAGATCCCAAGATCTTTGGTCGCTTGTTTCTGTCTTTTTTTTTTTTTTTTTTTTTTTGAGATGGCGTATTGCTCTGTCGTGCAGGCTGGAGTGCATTGGCGAGATCTCGGCTCACTGCAATCTCCACATTCTGGGTTCAAGCGATTCTCCTGCCTCAGCCTCCCGAGTAGCTGGGATTACAGGCACGCACCACCACGGCACGGCTAATTTTTGTATTTTTAGTGGGGACGGGGTTTCACCATGTTGGCCAGGTTGGTCTGGAACTCCTGACCCAAGTGATCTGCTCGCCTTGGCCTCCCAAAGTGCTGGGATTACAGGTGTGAGCCACTGCGCCTGGCCGCTTGTTTCAGTCTTGTTATCCAACAAGGCAGCCATGAAGGTAGTGCAAGAAACCCAGGAATTGGAAGAAGACTACGAAGTTTCAGGAAAAGCGAAATGGGGGGCGGAGAGAGGGAGGGCAAAGAAAATAAAGTTGGGAAGATAGCTCGTCTCCAGCTTCATGGTCTCCTATGATTAAGACAATGTCAATGTAATCTAACATACCACTTTTTTTTTTTTTTTTTTTTTTTTGAGACAGAGTCTCTCGCTGTGTCTCCTAGGCTGGAGTGCAGTGGTGCGATGTCGGCTAACTGCAACCTCCGCCTCCTGGGTTCAAGCGATTCTCCTGCCTCTGCCTCCCGAGTAGCTGGTACAGGCGCCCACCTCCACGCCCGGCTAATTTTTTTGTATTTTCAGTAGAGACGGGGGTTTCACTACGTTGGCCAGGCTGGTCTTGAACTCCTGACCTTGTGATCCGCCCGCCTCGGCCTCCCAAAGTGCTGGGATTACAGGCGTGAGCCACCGCTCCCGGCCTACCACTATTTTATTTTATTTATGTATTATTTATTTATGTTTTTGAGACTTGAGTTTCGCTCTTGTTACCCAGGCTGGAGTGCAATGGCGCAATCTCGGCTCACGGCAACCTCCACAGGAGAAGCGATTCTCCTGTCCCAGCCTCCCGAGTAGCTGGGATTACAGGCATGCGCCGCCACGCCCGGCTAATTTTGTATTTTTAGTAGAGACGGGGTTTCTCCATGTTGGTCAGGCTGGTCTCGAACTCCCGACCTCAGGTGATCCGCCCGCCTCGGCCTCCCAGAGTGCTGAGATTACAGGTGTCAGCCACCGCGCCCGGCCCACCACTCATTTTTATAGACAATTTTTTCTAAGGGACCTCGTAGACAATACTTTGGGGAACCGCAGAGCACAGTTGGGGAAAACACAGTAATACCATCTAAGTTTCTTTACTGAGGACCTCAGAGCCGAATGGCCTCTATGGATGCCATAGAGACCAATACGGACTGAGGGTTTAAAGAAGATGGTGTCCGCCGCAGGACCGCTCTATCTTCTCGGGTGAACTCTATGGCAGAGCATAGGCATTCGATTTAGAGAAGTGAAGCCGAGATGGGTGGGAACCCGACCACACTAGCGCGCTAGAAGAGTGGGGCGGAAAGACATCTCCCGCGCATGTGTGGAACTGGGGGGACTGATTCCAAGACAAGGCGCCCACCCCACAGAGCAAGTTTTCTGAAACGTGTGAGTCGTTTAAGTCCAGTTAAAGCCGAGGTGGGGCGTATCCTGAGACGCATGCGTTCTAGACGAGACAAGTGATCTAGCGGCGTGGTCTTTTCAACGCCTGGCGTACTGACGGCGTCTGAGGTGGAAGGGGTTGTTTAGGATTCCGAACACGCATGCGTTCTGAGACCCAGGCGTTTCCTTTAGAGGGTGTGGAGTGCAGGGCTCCTTATTGCGCAGGCGCAAGGACTGCCCGGTAGGACGAGCGGTCTATCAAGGGGAGGGAAGATGAGGTTGAAGAGATTAAAAAACCGGGTGCGCCTGCGCGTTGCAGATTAGTTGAAAACGCTCAGGGTTTGTGAGGGGCGGGGTCACGTATGCGCGTCATTGGACGGGTCGGTGGGAGGGAGGGTGGAGATGGGTAGGGTGTGTGCGCTTGCGCAGTGCGGGGGTGGAGGGCGGAGGAGATAGATAGCACGCTTGCGCGGCTGTCATAGGGCTGCTTGGTTGGTCAGTGGGGAGTCGGCGCCTGCGTACTAAGACCCGTGTGCAGCAGCGGCGGCGGCGGTAGAGGCGGCGGCGGCGGCGGCAGCGGGCTCGGAGGCAGCGGTTGGGCTCGCGGCGAGCGGACGGGGTCGAGTCAGTGCGTTCGCGCGAGGTGAGAGCGGGCAGGGCGCGTGTGCGCGGTACCTTGGCTTGGGCCCGGGAGAAGATGGAACTGCGCGGGGGTCGGGGAGGGGGCAGAGGGGAGCGGCGGCCGCCGCCGCACGGGTTCGGCCAGAGAGCGGCGCGAGGTGAGGAGAGGCGCGGGCGCGCGCCCCGGTTGGCGCGCGGGGTGACGGTTGGGGTTGGCCCGGTGACGTTGGAGCGACGCAGGGCGGGGGACGGCGAGCCGCGAGGCAGCCACGCGGGAGAGGCCGCCAGGCGGCCACGCCGGGGCGAGGGCCAGGGGCCAGATCGGCCCACCGGGGCAAGGGTACCTGGGCCGTTGAGGACCCGGCTCAGCGCGGCCACGTGAGGTGGGGGAGGGGGCTATTCGGTGAGAGGGCATGATGGGGGGGGTTGGCGGACGGCCGGGGGGAGGGGAGGCGGCGTGGCTCCGGCCTGGCGCAGTCTCTGAGGAGGGGGCGGCCGCGGCACCGGAAGTGCCCCCCACGGGAGGCTGCCCTCGGGGTCGCAGGCCGCATGGCCAAGCGTGGACCGGGGCCGCATGGCAGCGCGGGGACCCCTCCCCCCAGGTCCCGGCCACCGGAAGCCCGGAACGGCCACATGGTCGGCAGGAGCCGGCAGCCCCTAGCGCGGGGAGCTAGTCCTCGCGGGGGTTCCGAGGGGGCCTGAGATTTTGAGGAGTGGAAGCCGGAGGCTCGGGTCCTAATCACCCCGGAGGGCCTGCTGCAGGCATATGTTAGCGCTTCCCAACCTCAAGGGCCCCAGGAGCTTTCCTGAAAAACCCTCCTGTGAAGTGTGGCGGTCAGCCAGGTGTAAGTGGCACCCCTTCGAGCTGGGAGGCCGGAGAAATGGGGAAACAGGGCGTTTGGACAGGAGCCCAACTTTTCTGTCGGCCTGGGTGGACAGCGCCTAAAAGCCTCAGGCAGATGAGTTTCCCACCGTGATAGGCGTTCTTCACCTTGTCACTGTCTTCCTGTTGTAACTGGTTTGGGAGTTCCACGGTTTCGAAGTCCTTAACTCTACTAGCCTAGTATGATTTTCTACTACTCACTACTACCAACCTTTTGCTTTCATTTTATTGTCATTCACCACCCCCCACCTCTCCCACTTTCTACTGACTGTACTGGCCCGGCCTGAAAAGCCGACAGGACAGATGCATCCTGGGAAAAGTGGGAGGGCCTTCCAGGAGAGGCTGGGTTCCTGGGTTCTCTTTGGGAACCAAGATCGAGGTGTTTGGCAGGGGGATCATTTCGGAAACAACTTTGCTTTCTCCCCCTTGGCTTGTTGCAAGTGCATGTTGGCGAGGCGGGAATCCCCCAAAGAGGCCTTGTGGTTTCCTGTAGCAGTGACTGGTTTGTGTGTGGATGGGGGGGGGCAGTGTAACAGATGGGTGGGGCCTTGTCCTCCGGTCTCCACCCTCCCCCCCCCCAATTAGCCCTGCCCTTTTGCTGGATCATAGCTGCTCACCTAATTATAGCCCTGGCTATATGTGGGGAAGAGGGGTGGTTGGTTTCAGTGGCAAGTAACACCTGAGTCCTCCCCACTCCCAGGAAGTAGGCCTTTTCTCATCTCTGAGATTTGACATTCCAGCTCCCTAGAGCCTTCCTTTCCCAAGCCACCACTTTAGCTTTGATTTATGGGGGAGAAACCAGCTATTCCACCCTCCCATACACACACCAGTTCTTGAGTATATTTGAGCCCAGTCAGTATTTTAAGTTCAGGAACTTTGACTTTATTTTAGGTGGGTAATGGAATAAAGAGTTGGGAAAATGTTTCTGGAGAGAAATGGGATAGATTGGAGGTCCTGTTGACCTCCATGCTTATTCACTTCAGTTCTCTTCTTGGCTCTAGTTGGAATCGAAGCCTCTTAAAATGGCAGATGACTTGGACTTCGAGACAGGAGATGCAGGGGCCTCAGCCACCTTCCCAATGCAGTGCTCAGCATTACGTAAGAATGGCTTTGTGGTGCTCAAAGGCCGGCCATGTAAGATCGTCGAGATGTCTACTTCGAAGACTGGCAAGCACGGCCACGCCAAGGTTAGAATTTCACCTCCGCATCTTGCCTTCCCCATGCCTCCAGTATCTTTGGCGCTCCCAGCAGCAAGCTGCCAACAGTGCTGACTTTCCTTTAACTCTGCTTTTACTGTCTGATTGTTTTTGTTTAGCGCTCAGCCTTCATACCCATTCAGACAACTACACCTGCTCCCCAGTCTTCAGCCTCTTCTGTGGTTACCCTTCTGTCCCCGCATCATTCTCTGGCAGTCCCTCCGTTTCTCCAGCTTTGTGCCAATCTCTTCAATTCATAGGCCTTTATGCTCTAGCTATTCAGTTGCTCCTTCCTTATTCTTGGTTTTCACTTTTTCTTTCTTCCCTTGAGCCGTTGTTAAGTGGTTGCTTCCATCACGTTGCCCAGGGTTTCTCCAATTCTACGCCTTCCCCTGGAGGGACTCCTGCGTCAATTCTGAGCTTTCAGGTCACCTTGCTGCTTCGTTCCCCAGTTCTAGCTTTCCCTTTGGAACTCTGACGCAGGATCAAACTGCCCCTACCTGCCCCATCCCACTCTCCTTGGGTTCCTTGAGCCTCCATGCTTTCATGGGTTTTAACATTCTTGCTAGCACTTCCCTCATCACCTCAGACTTTTCCTGTCTCTTTAGAATTTCAACCTGATTCGTTCTTGTTGAATTTCTTGTGGTGTTTTTCCTTAATCAGTTTTTCCATCTTTTGACTTGACATTGATCTTGGATTATTCTCTAGTGTCTGGATCCCTCTCTGTGCTCTTCTGGCTTCCTTATTTTCTAGCTACATAGTTATTTCTGATCTCCCTGCAAGTCCTTTTCTTCAGCTCTTTCACATTTCTTAGTTTCTTATCCTTTCCCTTCTACCTTCCTTATTCCCCAGTTTCTCAGCTCCTTCTCCTGGTGTCCGGAAAACTCTTCGAAACTTTTACTCAGACTCCTCCCACTCCCCTAGACTCTTAGCATCTTATCTTTTATCAAGGTAACTGTCTTCTCCAAGCCTGCCATGCAGTTTTCTATTGTGCTGTCAACCCCAATCTCAACGGTGGTTTTTTAGCCTCTGTTTTTTTTCTTTAAGAGGCTTTACTGTTTCTTGAGTTGACTGGTTCAATTCCAACACTCCAGTCTTTGCCCCAACAATGTAATTCTGACTTCCCTCATCAGGCAAGGTCAATTTGAGCCTTTATTTCCTCCGTTTTAGAGTTTGGTTGGGTTTCTCTTTGTGATGCATACATACAGGTCCATCTGGTTGGTATTGACATCTTTACTGGGAAGAAATATGAAGATATCTGCCCGTCAACTCATAATATGGATGTCCCCAACATCAAAAGGAATGACTTCCAGGTATGTAGATGGTCTGGATGAGGATGGGTTAGCGGTTTATGGTGGAGGGAGGGGTTGGGGGATAGGGACTGACCAGGAGAGCTTGTGCTGGGAGAGAGGAGGGAAATGGCAGGAGAGGGTGTTTGGTATTAGTTTGCTATCAGTCCAGTTTGTCTATCAGAGCCTTTACTGTCATGTCAGCCTCCCTGGGCCTACTACCTTCAGCCTCCTTCCCTATCTGCCCCCAGCTGATTGGCATCCAGGATGGGTACCTATCACTGCTCCAGGACAGCGGGGAGGTACGAGAGGACCTTCGTCTCCCTGAGGGAGACCTTGGCAAGGAGATTGAGCAGAAGTACGACTGTGGAGAAGAGATCCTGGTATGGTGCCTCCCTCCCTGCTTCTGTGCTCAGCTTTGTTCTGTACGTTTCTTCCTGAGCTCAGACATCTCTTGGCTATCCCTCTTGCTTCTCCAGATCACGGTGCTGTCTGCCATGACAGAGGAGGCAGCTGTTGCAATCAAGGCCATGGCAAAATAACTGGCTCCCAGGTGAGTGTGACAAATCCCTCACTGTCCCCTTCACATTTTGTTGTCCTCAGCAGAGCTGCTGTAGTCTTAATTGTTTCAGGCTTACTTTCTGCCCCTAGCCTGGCTCTGTCCTCCCTATCCTTCCTGTTGAAGGTATTATCCTGTCTTACTAATTTCTCTCTCCTACCTAGGGTGGCGGTGGTGGCAGCAGTGATCCTCTGAACCTGCAGAGGCCCCCTCCCCGAGCCTGGCCTGGCTCTGGCCCGGTCCTAAGCTGGACTCCTCCTACACAATTTATTTGACGTTTTATTTTGGTTTTCCCCACCCCCTCAATCTGTCGGGGAGCCCCTGCCCTTCACCTAGCTCCCTTGGCCAGGAGCGAGCGAAGCTGTGGCCTTGGTGAAGCTGCCCTCCTCTTCTCCCCTCACACTACAGCCCTGGTGGGGGAGAAGGGGGTGGGTGCTGCTTGTGGTTTAGTCTTTTTTTTTTTTTTTTTTTTAATTCAATCTGGAATCAGAAAGCGGTGGATTCTGGCAAATGGTCCTTGTGCCCTCCCCACTCATCCCTGGTCTGGTCCCCTGTTGCCTATAGCCCTTTACCCTGAGCACCACCCCAACAGACTGGGGACCAGCCCCCTCGCCTGCCTGTGTCTCTCCCCAAACCCCTTTAGATGGGGAGGGAAGAGGAGGAGAGGGGAGGGGACCTGCCCCCTCCTCAGGCATCTGGGAGGGCCCTGCCCCCATGGGCTTTACCCTTCCCTGCGGGCTCTCTCCCCGACACATTTGTTAAAATCAAACCTGAATAAAACTACAAGTTTAATATGAAGCCCCCAACTCAGCTGCTTATTTGAATTAAATGGGTGTATTTGGAAGCCACAAAAAGACTGAACTCTGCCACTGAGTTCACTGGAACCCGCTGTCTATCACTTTGACTTGCTGTGGACCTGCCAGCCATCCCCCCACCCTCCAAGCAACCTTGACCTATTCCAGACAGTTGGGTGGGAGGCAACACAAACAGCAGCAGCCAGGGGCAGTGGCAGGTAGATTTTATTGGCCTGGGACACACAGGGGATACCCTCACCCACGATGGGGTGGGGGGTGTGGTGTTGAAGATATAATCTGATGGTCACTTGTGGTAGAATCGCGGGTTCTGGCTGTGTTGGATGAAGGGGAGCCGAGGGCCAGGTTGGCTGGTAGCTGCAAAGCCCGACTGGTGGTGGTGATGAAAAGAGGGCTTTGTCACTGGGCATACTCTCCCTTCCACTTAATACCCTACTGATAACCACCCCCAAAGAGGAAGGAAAAACCAGATGATGTGGGCCACCTGTCCTACCTAATCCTGCTTTTCCGGATCCCTAGTGTAGGGATTCTGACAGGTAAATTCTATTACCATTCTTACCTTTCCTGCTGGCTGCATCTGCACAGGGAGCTGGGGGGAAGCAAGGAGTCCAGGGGCTGGATGCAGAGCCTGGGGGTGCATGGGGCGCAGAGAGGACTGCAGAGAACAGAGTCAGGGCCTGAGGCATACTGAAGCTCCCCTTAACATATCCCTAACCCTGACCTCCCAAGGTGCCATACTCACTGAGTCGGAGAAGCCAGTCTGCTGGTTAGCATGTTCCATCTGCTTTTGCAAGGACAGGGCACCACCAGGCTGGAGGAAACCTAGGTGGGGAAGAGGGGCATGTGAGATGAGAATGAAACAGGGAGGGGAGGACCTGAGAGCTAGAGCTCCTGCATGGGATGTTATCACCTGTCTGAGTGGGCTGAAAGTGGCCATGCACAGCATAGGGCTGTGGCTGTGGCTGAGATAGGTACTGCACTGCAGGGAATGCCGAAGGAGCTGAGAAAGGAAAAGACAGAGCCATTAAAATCTTTTACTGAATGGCATTCCTCCTTTGACCTTGAGGAAGGCCAAGCCCCATCCCTCCTATTACTCACCTCTGAGCTGCTGACTAGGACTATAAGCTGGCTGTGTGGGCCCATAGTGAGGTGGGGGCTGAGCAGTCCCATAGGCACCACCAGGACTGCCTTGGAATTGTCCATGCTCTGGTGTCCCTGCAAAAGCAGCTGCTGAGCCCACGTAGTGCCGGGTCTAAGGAAGGAGAATGAGAACTCGCCTACAAACTCCTTGAAAGCTGAAACCCAGTGACTTGTGTGTATCTGTATGCCCCGTTTCCCCCTAAACTTAAGTGCTTGATATGTTTGTGACTTGAATACTGGTGGCAAGGATGCATGGATGGAAGTACTAGGGGCTAGGCATCCAATCCTACTCTCACCGTAAGCACTTGGGGTCCAAACATTTGTTTGGCTCTGTCAGCTGCCATGAGGGTGCCTGGGCGATTGTGTCCTCCAGGGCTCCCTAGAAAGGGAGAAGGGCTTCATGATGCTGAAATGGGAGGCTGTGACCTCCAAGAAGGCCGGTTCCATCTGGTGGTTTCTTTAGTCCTCACCCTGCATGCTGAGGAGATGAGTTCCTGTGTGAACAGTCAGGCTCTGCTGGTATGCAGCTGATGTTAGGGTGGTCAGGTCACTGGAGTGAAAGGAAGACAGGTCAAAGTCAAGGACAGATGCCTTCTCTTTTGCCATTAAACACTGGTTCTTTTACTACCTGATCCCAGTTCCACTTGGCCCCCATTTCAGTTTTTAGCACTCTGATCCCACCTCTGTTCCTTTCGCCTCCGTTTTTCTTCCTCATGTAAAACTTTCTTGAGCTGCAGGAAAAGCTGGTGCTTCTCTTCCTGTAGAGCCAAAAGCTTCTCCTCCAACTTCAGAATCTGGGATGGGGTGGGAAAAGAAGATGAAGGCAGGGAGAGTCAAACGAAGAAATCAAAGCTGGGAAAGTTCAAGGGACTGCTTACTTGTTCCTTGGTCTCCTCTAATGACATTCTCTCTTCCATCTCCTTTTTCTTCCTTCTCTCCTGTTCTTCCTTCATCTTCTGTTCCATCATCTTATCCACCTCTTCTTCCTCTGGAGAATCAGGCAGAATGAAGAAGAGGCAGGGTAGTGAAAACAATTCCAACGTTACAGATTGAAGACCAGCAAAACCCAGTCATCCCAACACGCCTGTATGCTCTTTGCCTCGAGGGGACAAGCTCCCCATCGCGGCAATAGGGAACGGAAAGGCTTTATCAGGTGCTCTCCAAGGTCCTTCCCATCTCAAGGGTTCTGGAGCGTGGAACAGGACGCTTAAATCCCACCACAACGGGGCTATTCCTTCCCTCCTCTGCGCTCGGCAGCGGGCGCGCTGGTTGGCCGGTGGGTTGAGGCCAGCCTTGAGGTACAGGAGCCATTCTGGGCCGTGCGTCCCCCTGCTATGGCCCCGGCTCACCCTGCCGCTTGCGCTCCCGCTCCATCATAATGTGCCGGTGCAGCGCCCTGGCCATGGCGTTGGAAAGCTTGGGGCGCTCCAGGAGTGCGGGCATGGTGCTGCCGTGGGCGCTCGGGCCGTGGGCGCCCGGCTGTCTCTGACTGCCAGACCTCAGACGGGGCCTGCGGGGAGGCGGGCGCTCAGAGGGGGCCGCGCCCGGCCCAGGCGGAAGCCCGTCCGCCCGGCCCGCTCGCCGCCCCGGTCACGTGTCCCAGGAGCCCGCCACCCGGCCGGGACCGCAGCCCCAGTCCCACCGCGCGCGGGCGGCGCCGGGGTCCCCGGCTCGCTGCTGCCGCTCCCTGCCCAGCCAGCGCGGACGACTGCCCTTCCTACCCGCCTTCTCTGCGCTTTCTCAGCGGCTCCGACGCGCCCTGGCCCCTGCGTCACATCCGGCGGCCCGGCCGAGTCCTTCCGGAGTCACGGCGGCGGCCGACCTCACAGGTGAAAGAAGGCGGAAGCGCGCTGCGACGGGTGCCCGCGGCGTACAAACCCCGTCGCCGGGAACGTGAGCGACGACGGCTGCAGACTGGCCTTGGCATCCTCAGCTCTCTTTAATTTCGCGGGCCCACCTGGTGGCACCCCAGGGGACGCGGGCTCCGGAGAGGGGCGCGCGAGAGAGAGGCCGAGGCGGAGGCTCTGAGACGGTGTTTATTGGCTCCTTAGAAATCAGAGTCAGTAACAACTGTACAGAGGCCCCCATCTTCCGTGCGCCCACCCTTCCCCACTCCCGCCCGGTGGCCCCGGAAAAAGCAGCTTCATGTGGGCACAGGGAGAGACTCCTCTGGGATTCACAGTAACCAGAAACAAAAACGGAAATAAATTAAGTGATGTGGGGTAGGGGAGTAAAAGGGAGTCATGTTCCCCAAATCAGTGCATGAAGAGGGGTACCAGGGCCTGGAGCTGGGCTCCCACGACTCCTCCCATCAGACGGAGTGCTGGGCCTCCGGACATGGAGCTGTGCCACTTGCCACCTACATCTGAGAGCCTGCCTACATGCTCCTGCGCGGCTGCCAAGCTCCAGCACCTGCGCATGCCACGAGTCACGGGAATGAGGTGGAGGCAGTCGCCACTCAGAGTCCATGGGCCCGCGGCCCGACTGTGCTTGTAGTAGTGGTGTCTCACCCCTCATTCCACCCGTACCAGCAGGGCACAGAGGAGTGTGGCCCCCTTCTCCTTAGTGACCCACTCAAGTTCGGCTGGACTGAAGTGAGGGTCAGGAGGTTCTCCAAGGGCAGCGGAAGGGGGTCCCGGGGTGTAGGAGCCAGGGCGCACACACACCTGGAACGCCACCTGAGCCTGGTGCGTCCGCTGGGATTTGGGGTCCCGGAATCTGTCAGACAAGAAAAAATAAGGGAGTGAAGCCTCTCGCCCCATCACCTCCCCCTTGCAAAGTCTGTTCCAACCACACAAGCCTTGCTGTACCTAGGAAATACTCCCACCTTATGGGAACTTCGCTCTAGCTGTTCTACCTGAAATGCTCTTCCTCCCAAAGCCTGCTCAGCTACACCCTTCACTTCCTTCTTCAAGCCTTTGCTCGAATCTCTCCCACCTTCTTAGGATGTCCACACCAACCGCACTGCTGTCTCCGCCCCATTCTTTCTCTGTTTCCATAGTCCTTACTTATTACCTTTAAAAATACTAAATACTGGCGGGGCGCGGTGGCTCACGCCTGTCCCAGCCCTTTGGGAGGCCGAGGTGGGCGGATCACGAGGTCAGGAGATCGAGACCATCCTGGCCAACATGGCGAAACCCCGTCTCTACTAAAAATACAAAAATTATCCGGGCTTGGTGGTGCGTGCCTGTAGTCCCAGCTACTCAGGAGGCTGAGGCAGGAGAATCGCTTGAACCCAGGAGGTGGAGGTTGCAGTGAGATCACGCCACTGCACTCCAGCCTGGGTGACAGAGCAGGACTCCGTCTCAAAAAAAATAAAAATAAAAATAAATAAATAAATAATACTTATTACGTATGAACATTGTAGAGAGAAAAGGCAGAAGTTCCACAAGAGCAAGGTTCCTTTTTTTGCCCACTAGAAGAGTATATAAGTAGTATTTGTTCAATGAATGAAGAAAGGGCTGAGTTGGAGACTGGCAGCTAGCAAGACGAGATGAGAAAAGGGGAGGGCGAATCATGAAGACCCCAGTGGCTGCGCTTGGGCCCTCTCCATCCGAGCCCCTGGAAATCTCTCCCCACCCCTCCCAGTACTCACTGCACTTTGGAGGCCAGGGTCTCCGCCCCAGCATATTGAAGGGAGGGGGAAAGCAGCACAGGAGGGGGCTGCTCCTCCCGAGGAGGTGCACAGTTCTCGCCAGGCTCCTCGAACCCTACCCCAGGTTCTCCCTTCAAAGGACGGCAGCTCAGGATGGAGGCAGTACCTGGGAGGAGAACTGGGTCAGGATAGCCCTTTTTATTCCTCCACAGCCCCCCAGGCTCAGCCCACCTTGCATGGGCCTACTCGCCAGTACCTGCTCCCAGCTCCCCTCGGTCCAGCACTCTCCGTACAGCGGCAACATTGCTCCCGTGATATGCCATGTGCCACTTCTTGGTTAGTGTCCCAGCCTCCAGGCGGGGATTCACTCTAGGAGGTGGACAAGCGGGGCAGATACAACGAAGGCCACTGACTCCCCAGTGGAGGAGCTTCACGAGGCTCTTCCTTAGACAGGAAGTCCCTGGCACTTCCTGGCTTTTCCTTAGACAGGAAGTTCTATTACTTCTTCCATGCACCCTCTTGGGATCCCCGTTTCTCCAGGGGGAAAACAGTAGGGGAAAGGCATGACCTTGCCCATATGTACCTGAGGTTGAACCTGCACCAGCCAAAGGGCAGTGCATATTCCCGGGGAGGCTCCCCTCTGCGCCTGTGGGCCTCGTCTCCTCGCAGCTTCCGGCAAGACTCACAGTAGCACAGGCTTCGCTTTGGCGGAGGCATGAAATAATCTTCTGCGGGACAGTGAGTAGCAGGCTTGGTGCTGTGGCTCCCACCTCAACCACAGTGGCACCCTCCAGCTGCTCTCCAAGGCTCTAGGCCTGGCCCTGGGAATGAAGTCAGTTCTGGCGGACTGTGGGACTCACCGGGAAGCAGCAGGAGTTCTTGGAAGCGAGAGCAAAGGGCATGGTACTCGCAGCTCTTTAGAGGACTAGCGGCAGGTGGTGGACCCCAGCACACACTCTCTTTGATACCTGAGGGAGCAGAGGGGCACAGGTCACAGGAGCTGGGCTAGAAGGGTGAGGGTGGGGGAGTAGGGGCAGGAGCTGGGTCCCTTTGGGCTGGCACACCGTCCACCATGTCTGCTTTCTCCATGTCCCCTTGGGTTCCAGCACTTTTCCCACTGGCAGCCCCTGGCTCAGGGTTCACGATTGTCACCTGCAGGGGAGAGGGTAGTCAGACAGAGCTTGGTCAGACCCCAGGGCCTGCTGATCCCTCCCTGGAACAGAGATTTCCCCTGTCCTGGACAGCGCAGACTCTCAGGCACCCCTCCTCCCTGCCCCCACTGCCACTAACCTGCTCACACTGCCCATAGAGGTCCACAAGCGCATGGCAGGGCTGGGGCACATCTGGCACAGCTACCCCCTGGTCCACCCCATTAACATGAAGATGCAGCCCCCCAGAGCTGTCCAGCCGCAGTCCCAGGATGGTGCCTTCAGGGCACGTGTCCAGATTGGGCCCAAACTTCTCGCAGATCTGGGAGGAGAGACCGGCTGTCTTCCAGAGGTCAGACTCCACCGCGGCAGCTGTCCCGCCCTTTGCTCTGCTTCCTTTTGCCAGTGCCTTGGCTTTGCCTCCATGCTTGCCCACTGCCGAGGTTCTCCTCCCACTGCAGTTACCTAGAGCCCCTCCCCTTCCCCAAAACTGGCACATTCTCAATGGCAGGGACACCGCAGGAAGCAGCAGGCCTAAGACTGACCAGGCAATGCTACTCGCCCTTGCCTGCCCATTACTGTTCCCCTTTTACACCTGTGGTCCTACCTCCAAGGCTAGGGGCCCACTTCTCCCTTCTGGCCAGCCCTTCTCTACTCACAGGCCTGGTCCTGTTCCTTCTCTCTGGCTCCTACTCACCTTGAGACCGTTGTGGAAGACCCCACGGCCCCGCAGCAGCCAGGCTGCCCGTTTGAGGGCACAGGCAGAAGCAGGGAAGTTGAGCCTCTCAGGCGCGCAGGTGATGACTCCCAGGACAAGGGAAGATGTCCACTGTCGGTTTAGGAAATCTATCCGCACCTGGGGAAGAAAGAACTACTCCATAATCACAGCCTCCTGGGAAGAACCAGGCTCCGCACCCCAGCCAGAGAGGGAATACTGCACCTCCCAGAATGTGGCCTGGGATGCTGCCTTTTCTTATGCTTGGAAGGACCAGAAAACGCTAATTTAGTTGTTTCTTTCCCTCTTTTTTTTTTTTTTTTTTTTTTTTTTTTTAAAAAAAAGAACCGCCAGCCGGGCATGGTGACCCACACTGTAATCCCAGCACTTTGGGAGGCTGAGGTGGGTGGATCACCTGAGGTCAGGAGTTTGAGACCAGCCTGACCAACATGGTGAAACTCCGTCTCTACTAAAAATACAAAATTAGCCGGGCGTAGTGTCATATGCCTGTAGTCCCAGCTACTTGGGAGGCTGAGGCAGAAGAATCGCTTGAACCCGGGAGGTGGAGGTTGCGGTGAGCCGAGATCATACCATTGCACTCTAGCCTGGGCGACAAGAGCTAAACTCCGTCTCAAAAAAAACAAAAAAACAAAAAAACAAAAAAAAAACATGCTGTTTGAGCCTTGACCTTGCTGTTGCCTCTGTAAGGATCTCTAAGGATTCTTATTCCTAGGACTTCCTTCACCTAGCTAGTTTTCTTTTCCTTTCTTTTTTTTTATTGAGACGGAGTCTCGCTCTGTTGCCCAGGCTGGAGTGCAGCGGTGCGATCTCGGCTCACTGCAAGCTCCGCCTCCTGGGTTCAAGCCATTCTCCTGCCTCAGCCTCCCGAGTAGCTGGGACTACAGGCGCCCGCCACCACGCCCGGCTAATTTTTTGTATTTTTTAGTAGAGACGGGGTTTCACCGTGTTAGCCAGGATGGTCTTGATCTCCTGATCTCGTGATCTGCCCGCCTCGGCCTTCCAAAGTGTTGCGATTACAGGCATGAGCCACTGAGCCTGGCCTTTTTTTCTTTTTTTTTTTAAGATACAAGGTCTTGCTCTATCTCCCAGGCTAGAGTGCGGTGGCGTGATCTCGGCTTACTGTAACCTCTGCCTCCCAGGTTCAAGTGATCCTCCCACCTCAGCCTCCCGAGTAGCTGGGATTACAGGCTCGTGCCACCATGCCTGGAGAATTTTTGTATTTTTTTTGTAGAGACAGAGTTTCACTATATTGCCTAGGCTGGTCGCGAACTCGTGAGCTCAAGCGATCCGCCTGCCTTGGCCTCCAAAAGTTCTGGGATTACAGGTATGAGCCACCGCACCCGGGCTCAGCTGGCTAACTTTCACATATCTTTCAGTTTGTAGCAAAAAGGCACCTTCTTCTGGAAAGCCCTCTCTGCTCCCACATATAGGATCAGGCATTTCTCTTGGACTCCTCCAGCCTGTCCCTACTGCTTCCCTCACCAATCACCAGGTAGGGACTTCGTGGTAACTGACTGATGACCCTCATTACAGGCTATGAATAAAAGCCTAGGAAGCTCATCCAAGTGGCTTGCTTTCTTTTTCTCCACACAAAAAGGCCTTTTTTCAGGGGGGTTGGCCATGGGTCACTGTGGAGCGAGAGAAGCTGGGGATAGGGAGGGAGAACCCACCTGCACCAGCAGCTGGGGCACCAGAGGTTGGTTGATGACAACGATGCCCTGATTGTAGCTGGCCACCCGTGTGGCCGTACGGTTCCCATTAGACAAAAGGATATTCTTCCCATGGTTCTCCAGGAACTCGAGGGTGGTGGGTATAATACCCACTTCATTCTGGCCCTGGTGTGGAGGAAGGGACTGAGCTGCATGGGTTGCCAATGCCAGGACTGACCCACCCCACTGGAGTTTGCACAGATCCTGAGTGTGAGCCTCCACCCAACGATCAGAGAACCCAGAAAAGGCCTGGCATCCAACGGCCCAGCAACTGCCCATCCATGTGCACAGCAGACCATGCTGCAGCCTCTTACTCCCAGGCCATGCTCCTCGCCCTCGTCATCCTCCTCGCCCTCACTGCCGGTGTCTGAACTGGGGGAAGGAGGCTGGGTGCCTTCTGACTCCTCCAGTCTCGTGGAACTGACAATTGACACACCGCGGACTGGCCCGTAGAGATCCAACACAGCCCACACGTTCTGGGAGGCACACAAGACCCAGAAAATCAGAGATCAGCAGAAGACCTCAACCATCCTCCCAGAACCCAAGGAAGCGTTCAGGTCTACCTTGGCAATGCCAGTGGCTGCAGGCCCCATATCCTCTCCATCCACCAGGATGTGCATCGTGTCATCTGCCCCCCGACGAACACCCACACGGCTCCCCACCTAGGACCGAGGTAGGACAAGGACGGACGATGTTCAGCCCACCTCTCCCTGCCACCTCCACTCCCAACCCCTCCCCTGTCCCTGGAGCCAGCCACTTCACCCCCAGCCTCTCTAGGTTCCGGCCATAGTTCATCCTCTGGAGCTGCCCATCACGCCTCACTTCACAGCTGGATACCATCCAAGTGGTCTTCGTCCGGAGCTCTGGCAGGGAAGGAGGCAGCCCTGGGCCACCACCGCCTGCCCCGGGTCCCATCTCCCCCGGTGCTAGTGTGGTCAGCCCCAGCCGCAGGGAACCTGCCCACTTCTCATCTAGCTCTTCCACTTTCACCTACGAGACAGAGAAAACATAAGCTGGCCCTGTCGTGATGGGCCTCGCAGCCCCTCTGTCACATCACTACGGCCTACCTCAAAGACTTCCTCAGCCCTCAGCTCCTTGGTACTGAAGACAAGGCCATGAGCATAGCCAGCGGCACGCACTGCCCTCGTGCCATCCTCCTCTAGAGTGACGTTCTTGCCGCAAGTACTGTGGAATCGGTGAGCCACGCCAGCCACTGTGAAGAGATGGCACCAGTAGAAGGGGTAGGATTGGGGCAGCGAGCTTCAGGCAGAACACAGAGCAAAGCTTTCAGATGAAACGAAATGGGGATGCCAACGCCCCATCTGCCATCTGCCATTACACCTCAGGGCCTCCTGACACCTCTTTATTGTATTTTGTTGAGGCAGAGTCTCGCTCTGTCACTCAGGCTGGAGTGCAGGGGCACAGTCGTGGCTCACTGCAGCCTCGACTTCCTGGGATCCAGCTATCCTCCCACCTCAGCCTCTCAAGTAGCTGGGACCACAGGTGCATGCCACCACACCTGCCTACATTTTGTATTTTTGGTACAGACGGGGTTTCGCCATGTTTCCCAGGCTGGTCTCAAACTCTTGTGCTCGAGAGATCCACCTGCCTTGAACTCCCAAAGTGCTGGGATTACAGGCGTGAGCTACTGCGCCCGGCCCTGATACCTCTTTTCACCACAGCAAGGCCCATTTCCAAACCTGGCATGCTCAGCTTATGGTGTCCTGGCCCCTTGGTGGCAGGGAAGTGTCCAGGCTCTAAGTACCAGGTGTAACCTCCCCCTCACTGGCTGCTTGCCACCGTGGGCTGTCCCTTCCCTGGAGCCGGCAGCTACCCCAGCCAACCGTCTTTGCAGAACCTCTCTAACCTGGAAACCCTACTCCTCAGGTGCACAGCAGGCAAGCAGAGCCCGTCCAGCCCCCGCCCTGCTGCCGCACCTGGGGAGTGCAGTGGGAAGGACTTCTCGGTGGCAGTGTTGCTGGTCGCCAGGCTGTTGTCCATGGGGCCGGTGGCATTGGTGATGGACACTTGGACACACTGGCCATAGAGATCGACTACCGCATACACCTCTGGGGAGGAGAGGGAAGGTCAGAAGCCTGACAGCCAGGTGGTCTGGGCTGAGGGTGGCAGGCTGAAAGCCACATAGTCACCTTTACCCGGAGGCAGGCCCGAGCAGGCAGCGCCTTGGTCCTGGCCGTTGATGAAGTAGTGCAGGTCGCCCTTGGCAGTTCGCATCATGCCAATGCGTGCACCTGTGCCCAGCGCATCCAGGTCACACCCATAATTGTTGCGCATCGTGTTACCGTCTTGCATGATGGCTGTACCACTGGGGGGATGGCAGAAGGGGTGAGTCAGCCTGCCAACTTCAACTTCACATTGGCCCCTGCCCACTCCCTGTCTGTCAGAACCCTCCAATGTCTTGGGCTGGTGTCTTGATCTGGGTGTAAGGCCCAATCCTATCTCCTCTGTCCCTGGGATCCCCTTAGGAAAAAGCAAGAACTGCCTAAGATGAAGGAGGACTGAGCCCCTGTGGGCCTGGGCAGGACTTCCCAGAATTCAAGGGGAGGGGACAGGTAGATCCCCTAGGTCTGTCACTACCCACAGCCACCATAGGCCCAAACCTTGCTTCCCTGATCCCAGCCAGCTCCACTCAGCCCCAAGCTGGTCCCCAAAGCAGGAAGCCCAACCTCAGCATCCATGTGTCATAGTCAATGTCTGTCATGGTGTTGGGGAATTCCAGGTCTTCAGGCCGAATAGCAGTCACTCCTGGGAGGAGGCAGGGGTAAGTCAAGGCCGATCCCCAAGGCACAGACATCCAACAGCCCCCAACACACACAGACGGCCCTCACCAGCCTCAATGGAGCCTGACCAGCGGTCCACCATCTTCTGAATGACAATTTCAAACAGCTCTCCATCCCGCAGGGCCCTGCCAGGAGACTGGCGATCAGAGAGGCTCTACTTGCATGGCTGAGGCTGGGCAGGAGGAAGGTGGGGACATGAAAGTTGAGAGACTGACCGGTTGGAGATGACGATGGCGTCATTAAACTCGCTGCGACAGTTGTGGCGGAGGGCGGTGCGGCCCCCGTTAGTGATGACTGCGTTACTGCCGTGCAGCTGATGGAAGCGCAGGTCAGAGCCCCCGGCCCCTGAGGACGGAGAGCTTGGAGACACCTGGTTGTTCCCCTCAGGGAGTGGTTCAGGAACTGGAGCCACCTCTGTAAAAGTGGACATCACCCATCAGGTCTCTAGGTGTCTCTCAGACCTCCCAAGGCCACCCTAACCCCCAGCCCCAGCCCAGCCCGGCCCTCACCCACGTCGTCCACAATGGTGGCCTGGGCCGCCTGGCCATAGAGATCGACGACAGCATAGACGCCCGGGGGCACGTTCCAGGCAGCAGGGCCCTGAGTCATCCCATTGACAAAGAAGTGGAGAGTCCCGTCCTCCCGCCGTACCACGCCCACCGTGTCCCCTGCCTTGGAAGAAGGGGGTGCTGGAGTGAGGAGTCAGGCAGAGTTCCTGCCGGGGCTGGTCCTGCATCAGCCCCGCGGTGTTTGTGATGCCCGCTGCGGCCGCCAGGCGGCGCACCCACTTTCCCACCTTGAGGCGGTCCAGATTGTGCCCGTATTCATCCAGGATGGTCGTCCCATTGTGCATCACCCCATTCCCAGTCATCATCCAGGTCCCTGGGAGGACAAGGAGCAGGAGGGGACATGAGGGGAAATGCAGGGCTCCTCTCCTTGCCACAGCAGCGCCCACAGGACTCCCGAGCCCACAGTCCACCTTGCCTTTTCTTTGATGACTAGATTTCTTCCCTGAGCAGGACAAGAAAACTCTGCAGCTTCCAAGACAGCCACAGCCCTGCCCACGGGACACTCTCTAGCCACTGAATGAGTGGTCACAAGAGTGACAAGTGAAAAAGGAGCTGCAGAACAAGTGCCAGGGCTTTGGGGATAGCTTCCCCCCAAAACCCTATCCTGTCCCTGCCCTTCCTGGGAGCTCACCAGAGCGCAAGTTGGTCATGGTGGAGGGCAACTGGAGGTAGGCAGGGTTGTGGGTGGTGACACCAATTTCAATGGAGCCAGCCCATTTGTCCACCATCTTGTCGATGCGCACCTGGAACACCTCTCCATCCCGCAGGGCTCTGCTGCTCAGCACCACGCCGTGATTGAAGTCATCGGTGGCACTGAGGGCACAGCAAGTGGAGAGTCAGATCCCCAACACACGCTCTCAATGTGCCAAGGCTTAGCCCAGCAATGCCTGCCAACACTCACTGCCCCAAGCCAAAGAACTAAAGCTCAACCTCCAGGAAGCTGCCCCCGCCAGGCTCCCTCTGCCTTCCACTTCCTTGCCCCGCCCCCCCCCCCCCATTAGAATCCCTTCTTCAGGCTTCTCCCCACCCCATGGGCCATACTGGGGCCTCAGGGCAGTGCGTCCCTCGTGGGTGATGGCTGCCTTCTGCCCACAGTTGGGGTGGAAGAGCAGGCGCTCAGGTTCTGCCTGGGCGGCAGGGGCAGCACGGCGGAGAGCACCCTCGGGGGACAGCGCCCGCAGGATGGCGTTGTTTCGGCGGAGACGGTCACTGTGGTTGTTATTGTGGACGATGGTCACCTTCACTGCCATCCCGTACAAGTCCACCACACCATACACCACTGGGGGCGTCAAGGGGGTTGCCACTCCTGTGGCAGGAAGGTACGGGGGTGTGGGAGTGGACAGGGAGAATGAGGGGAGAAAGTCAAACACAGGGAGGCCAAGCACCAAAGAGAAGCAGGAGGATGAGGTACAGCCCCCAGTCCCAGCCCCACCGAAAGCCCCGGCCCAGAGGCTCTCTCTGGGCGGCCCTTACCCTGATCGATACCATTAATGAAGAAGTGTAGGGCAGAGTTGGACTTCCTTGTGAGGCCAATGTGGTCACCCTCCTAATCAAAGAAGACAAACAGTTTAGAGGAGTCCTGAGGCCTGCTCAGCACCCCACTCCACACAGGAACAACTCCAGAAGGTATTCGTGAGAGTCTCAGACCACCCTGGAGGACAGGTCCTGGGTCCTTGTTTTCCAGACATGACAATTTCCACATTTCGTCAATGCTCCACGTGAGTCAGGCACTGAGTTAAACCACCTCACAGACATTAGCTTCTACAAGTCTCAGCCTATGGAATAAGTACTACTCGTAGGCTCATTTTAGAGATTGCAGGAGGTGGGGGAGCAATCAAAGAGGATAAGCTTCTTGCCCCGGTTCGCTACTACAAATGGGAAAACAGTAAGAGGAATTCAACCATCTGACTCCAAAATCTGAGTGCTGAACTCTTGGGCAACTCAGGCTTCTAGGAAGGAACCTTTAGGTGGAAGATACAGGGACTGCCTCTAGGTCACATAGGAGACCCTGCTTGGTGCCCTGGCAGGGACACAGAGTACCTGTGGCTCTGCTGAAAGCGGCCCAGGGATCTGTGCCCCACCCTCACCTGCAACTCATCCAGACTGAATTCGCAGTACTCCCGGCGGGTGCCCTTGCCATTGGTCAGGATTCCACAGCCGCTCATCATGATGGTGCCTGGGTGATAGTGGACACTTGGGTTCGGGTACGGGGCTTCCTTCCCCTCAGCAACACCAGGCCTGCACCCCCGCCCCTGCCCGGGGCTGGTACCTGACTGGAGGTTGGTCATGGTGGCTGGGTACTCCAAACTGTTGGGGTTGTGGGTGGTGACCCCAATCTCAATGGAGCCTGACCACTTATCAACAAGCTTGTCGATACGGATCTGGCATTGAGGGACAGAAGGGAGAAGCAGGGAATGTAAATGCAGAAAGGGACCTTCAGCCCTTGGTTCTTCCCCAGGGCCCACCCTCCTAGCACCAAGGGTCAATCCCCATCTTTAGCTCCCAGGGATAAGGCGCCAACCAGACCACAGGACTTTGCACACCTCAAACATCTCATTGTCCCGAAGGGGGCGATTGGTCATGACAACCCCATTGTTGAATTCATCCAGGGGCCGCCGGCGCTCAGCCGTCTTATTATTGTTGCTGAGTTTGATGAGGGTCCCGCACTTTTCATGAAAGAGCAGGGCATCGTTGGAAGTGAGAATGGGCGAGGTGGCAGCACCGCTAGATCCCAGGCCTTCCCCTGCCGGTGGGGAGCTCAGGTTCACATTCAGGAGCCCTCCATTGTAGGCAGACAGGATGGTGTTGCTCACCACCTCAGACAGCTCCATGTTGGCAAAGTCTATAGCAGCAGGATGGAAGAAGGAAGCTCGGAAGTTGGGATGAGGCTCTACACCCCCAGACCTGGTGCCTCTCTCCCTACCCCTTCTCCTGAGGGCCCTCCCTTGTCCACCTCACTTCCCACTCCCCTTCCCAGGGCCTCCCCAAAGCCCTCACCATTATGCGACTCAAGGCTGTTAGGAAACGTCTCCGGCCGGGCCTGCGCTGGGGACACCATGAAGGCTGGGGACCAGGTGGGATGGGAGGGGAATAAGGGTTCAGTCCCTGCTTCACGGCCCATAGCCAGGAGAACCCCCCATCCTCTAGCTCCTGCTCTCCCATTCAACAGACTTGGGGATCAGGGTGGCCCTGCCCACACCCAGCCTGTCTTGTCACTCTATTTCCCCCATTCCGTCCCCACCCCACCACCACTGCCCTAGCTGTGTTCTCACCTTCATCTGCAGAGGTCCCCTGTTCAGCCAAGGCAGAGTCTTCAGTGGGGGCCAAGGGCTCGAGGGGAGGTGTGGGGATGGGAGTAGGGGGGCTGAAGCCTGGCTCAGGGGGTAGCACGGTGATCTGGGTGCACTTGCCATAAAGGTCCACGACGGCCCAGACACGAGGGGGCAGGCCTGTGGCAGCCACACCGCAATCCCGCCCATTCACCCAGAGCCGAAGCTCCCCAGCAACTGTGCGCTCCACGCCCACGCGGTCCCCTTCACCAAGCTGGTCCAGGTCCTGACCATACTCCTCCAACACAGAGCGTCCATCTCTCAGCACAGAGCAGCCCGACACTACCCACGAGCCCCCCTTCAGGCCCGTGGCACTGCTTGGAAAGTCCAGCACACTGGGGTCCAGCGCTGTCACCCCAATCTCAATGGAGCCGCTCCAGGAGTTGACCTGGGATAGGGGTATTGGACAGAGGCTTAGAATGGGCCACCCCCCATTCCACAGGCCACCATATCTTCCCACCTCTCAGACAGCTAGCTGGCTTTCTGTCTCTTGGAACACTAATCCAGAGATGCAGACAGTGATTTTCTGGACTCCGTCTTGGTAATTATTTGGGCTTTCCTTTAGCAACTCTGCTCTCTACTCAGTGTTTACTAAACCACTCCTTTCCAAGCCAAGCACAAATTCCTTGGTTCCAACCTCCTGCCTCCTCTAACTTTCCTTGTCTCTATGGCTCTCCAACCATCCAAATTCTCCTACTTCCTATACCCACACCTCTTGCTCTTGTGTATCATTCATTCCTTTCCCCTGGCCTAATTCTCTCCAAAGATCAGGCTCTACCCAGATTCAATCTCCTTCCAAGTTCTTTTTCTGTGAGCCTGGCCTCTTCACTGAATCACACACACCTCCCTCACCCTGGATCTTTCTCCTCACCTATCTTTCTGGCACAGCCTCTGTCCTTCAATGGTTTGTTCTGTTTTTTTGAGACGGAGTCTCACTCACTCTATTGCCCAGGCTGGAGTGCAATGGCATGATCTCAGCTCACTGCAACCTCTGCCTCCCGGGTTCAAGCCATTCTCCTGCCTCAGCCTCCAGAGTAGCTGGGATTACAGGCGCACGCCACCATGCCTGGCCAATTTTTGTATTTTTAGTAAAGACGGGGTTTCACCACGTTCACCAGGCTGGTCTCAAACCCCTGACTCTAGTGATCCGCCCGCCTCGGACTCCCAAAGTGCTGGGATTACGTTTGTTCGTTCCTTGGCATCTTTCTTCACTTGCCATCACATCTCTGACATCTCTCCATCCTCCATGCCCAAGAAATTGTACCAGGAGGTCTGTTCCCAGCCATTCTAGTGGGTTAGCCCTCGTGTCCCTTCCCTGGTTCTGGATCTTGAGAAAACTCAAGCTCTTAATGTCATCTTCAAACTCAATGTTTCTGCTTCATGCTGTCTTCCTGACCGCCCCCTGGTGCTCTATGGTCTTTCTGTTCCCTCTCGGTGCCCGGCAATGTGGGCTACCCTGGCTGTCCTACCCCGTCTCCCTCTAGACGCCTCCCACCACCCTCCACATCTCTGTTCCGCGGTACCAGCGCTGCACCTTGCGGTCGATGCGGACGGTGAAGACGCGTCCATCGCGCAAGGGTTCTCGGCTCAACACCAGCCCGTGGTTAAACTCCTGGCCCGGCTGCTGCCGCCGCGCCGTACGCCCACAGGCCGACAGGCTCACCAAGCGCCCAGTGCGCGGGTGCAGTTCCCCGCCGCTGCCCAGACCCCCGTTGGACCCCGGTCCTGAGCCGCTCCCGCTGGGGCCCCCACCCCCGCCCGGCCCCGGTCCAGGGCCTCCCCCAGAGCCCCCACTCCCACCCGACCCTGCCGCCATCTCCGCTGACACCGGGGCAGCGCGACAGCCGCGCTTGGCGGCACCGTGGCAACCGCGTCGGGCAGACAGTCCGAGGGATACGACCGGGGGGCTGAGGCCAGGTATGCTTTACGGCACTGCCGGGCAATGAAGCAGCCCGCGCTAGGAGCTGGGGACGACCACGATGAGAACAGAAGGACACGGGGTCGGGAGCCTCGCTTTACGGCATAGCGAGGTGACGGAGCGGCTCCGAGGGGGACGAAGACCTGGGCAGGGAGCTTTTGCGACAGTGGGAGAAAGACACGCCCACCGCAGGCATCTTTACGACGGTGGGGTGCTGGAGCCCAAACACTTTCTGCTTTGCGACAGCGGCACCGACGACCCCGCCCTCGCTAGGGGGCGGTGACACCTTGAAGCACTCGCTTTACGGCAAGAGGGGGTGTCTCCCCTCGGGATGCAGGCTCCAAAGCAGCGTGAGCCGAGTCTGGAGGACCCAGAGAAGCGGTAGTGAAAGTCTCTTCCCGCCACCCGACTGAGGACGAAGTGTCTTGCAACAGTGCGGCAGTCCTTCCACTTTGCCTCACACCTCTTCTGATTGGCTGAGCTAGCCGACTGGCGGGGGTGGGGGAAGCTCGCTGATAGTTCAAGTCAAGCCCAGCTTCAACTCCAACTCAACCAAACTATTCCATGTTAAGACCACAAAGAGTCTAAAGAAGTCCCGACAGGCCGTTTCAAGCGACAGCGTTGATGACCCCAAAAGATCTCCCTTAGAGCTATTAACAAGCCCCCTGCCCAACTCCCCGAAGCTCAAGCTCAGGCTGGAGGACCGTGAGGTCACAGTCGAAGCTCCTGGCCTGGCCCCCTGACTGGGATTGGCTGGTTTGGATGAGGGTGGTGATGGAGAAGGGCGGGAACAAATTGCCCAGACAAAGAAAATCTTTGGGTGGGACACAAAGGAAAGGGGCGAGCGGAGGGACCCCCAGCCCGAGTCTCTATATAGTCTTGATTCCGCCCGCCGCAGCTCTGGAGCAGGGGAGAAGTGGACCCGGGACTGAGCCCGAGCATCCCCGGCCGGCAGCGGTGGGGGCGGGGCCAGGGGCGGGGCTACGTGGAGCCGGGAGGCGGGTCAGGATCGCTGAGAGCAGCCCCCCAGTGGGGCCATGGAGAAGGTGGAGTCCCTAGGGGCTGCTGGCGGCCTCAACCGGGATTCCCCTGGAGGGGCAGCCAGAGGAGTGCCCGCAGCGGTCACAGGAGTCGAGGCAGGCGCTGGGCAGCCCTCCAGAGTAGTCTTGTTTCACGGTTCTGGGCCCCACGTGCACTCAGGGGGCTCCGTAACTCATAGTACTGGTTCAAGCTGTCCCTCCGGGGGGATAGTGGTCCTTGGTTCCGGGCCCAGTCAGCACCCAAGGGAGGCTGCGAACCACAGCCTTGGGTCTGGCAGGAACCCTGGTGGATTCAACATCCCCGGGCCTCGAACCAGTGTATCCAGGGCTTCCAGCCCCGGGCCTGGGGGACCTGCAGGGCAAGAGGTAAACAGCCCCGGGTGCAGTCCGCACTCTGGGCCAACTTGCTTGAACCCCCAAAACTCCCAACAGGACCGGCCCCGGAGCATCCTACGAAAGAACAGCTCCAACTTGATGCAGAAATCCCCCAATGTGGAGAAGTAAGGAGCCCAGCTCTGCGGGCAGCCAGCCCAGAGTCGGGAGGGTTCAGGACACCTGAGGGTGGGAGCCAGAAGGAAAGGGGCAGAGCCTTAAGAATGAAGAGTTAGAGTAGGTGAGGGCAATTGAGTGGGAAGTCCGAGGTTCCAGGCTTTCGGGAGAAGAGCAGGTGCCCCATAAACCGTGGCTGCACAGGACTGTGATTATCATTAAGTCTGACCCCATCCCCAGCCTCAACAAGGTATAAGAAACCTGTTTTGAGTCGGAGTGGTGACTCATGCCTGTAATCCTAGCACTTTGGGAGGCCGAGGTGGGCAGATCACCTGAGGTCAGGAGTTCGAGACCAGCCCGGCCAACATGGTGAAACCCTGTCCCTACTAAAAATACAAAAATAAGCCGGGTGTGGTGGCAGGCACCTGTAATCCCAGCTACTTGGGAGGCTAAGGCAGGAGAATGGCTTGAACCGGGGAGGCAGAGGTTGCAATGAGCTGAGATCACACCATTGCACTCCAGTCTGGAAAACAGAGCAAGACTCCATCTCAAAAAACAAACAAACAACAACAAAAACTGTTTTGAATGCCACGCAGGGTAGCTCATGCCTGTAATCCCAGCACTTTGGGAGTGCGAGGCAGGCAGATCACGAGGTCAGGAGTTCAAGACCAGCCTGACCAACATGGTGAAACCCCATCTCTACTAAAAATACAAAAATTAGCCAGGTGTGGTGGCGCACGCCTGTAATCCCAGCTACTCAGGAGGCTGAGGCAGGAGAATCACTTGAACCCGGGAGGCAGAGGTTGCCGTGAGCTGTGATCGTGCCACTGCACTCCAGCTTGGTCAACAGAGCCAAGATTCCATCTCAAAACAAAAACAAAAGCAAAAAACAAAAACAAAAACAAAAAAAACCTGTTTTGAATGACTGGGAAAATGAGGGAGGCCTATGGGGGGGTCATTAGAAGGTCTCCTCCCCCAGCCCCAGAAGGAAGTCTCAGCACTGGGACGAGATGAATATCCTGGCCACCTACCGCCCTGCTGACAAGGACTATGGATTTATGATGGTGGATGAGCCCAACACTCCCTACCACAGGTGCTGAGCCCTCAGCCCCAACCCTTCAGTCCAGAGATTCTTCTCTATTTAAAGGAGGGGACAGGTGGAGGAGGCAGAGCGCCTCAGGGACTGGATACTGCCTGACACCCACCTCCCGGCACTGCTTCCCCCTCCTCTGCAGGCTGCAGGACAGTTTTGAGGACCTCTCTGCCGGCTCCTCCTGCTCAGTGAATCCTGGAGTGCTGGCAGAGAGGTAAGAGTCCTGCCAGAGATCAGCCGGGTTATGGGGCCTCTTCCTTCCCTCAGCCCTGAATTCAGGTCTGCAGCGGGTCTGCTTTCTGACACCTGCAGTGGGAGGTGCTACAATTTCCATCAGGCCTGGATGGGGGCAGGGGTCCGCCAATTTGGCCTCGTTTACCACCTGTCCCCATTGCTATTTTCTTCTCTTGATGCCCCCAACTAGTCTCCTGCCCCTTCAGGATTGCCATGATGGACAGTATCTGCCCCAGGTTCCGCCAGGACTGTGCTGACAGGAGCTCAGGGCCTGCAGACAACTTTTCCAAGATACATGATGTAGGGTCCAGCCCTATGGGGCTTAGCGGGTGTTCCCCACCGTGTGCAGAGACGAGAGATTGTAATAAATTAAGACACAAGACAAAGAGATAAAGAGAAAGCAGCTGGGCCTGGGGGATGACTACCAAGACGCGGAGACCGGTAGTGGCCCTGAACCACTGGTTGCGCTGATATTTATTGCATACAAGACAAGGGGGCAGGGTAAGGAGGGTGAATCTTCTAAGTGATTGACAAGGTGCAGCAAGTCACGTGATCACAGGACAGGGGGCCCTTCCCTTTTAGGTAGCCGAAGTAGAGAGAGAAGGCAGCATACGTCAGCGTTTTCTTCTATGCACTGATAAGAAAGATCAAAGACATTAAGACTTTCACTATTTCTTCTACTGCTCTCTACTACGAATTTCAAAGAGGAACCAGGAGTACGGGAGGAACATGAAAGTGGACAAGGAGCGTGAGCATTGAAGCACAGCACCACAGGGAGGGGTTTAGGCCTCCGGATGACTGCGGGGAGGCCTGGATAATATCCAGCCTTCCACAAGAAGCTGGTGGAGCAGAGTGTTCCCTGACTCCTCCAAGGAAAGGAGACTCCCTTTCGCGATCTGCTAAGTAACGGGTGTCTTCCCAGGCACTAGCGTTACCGCTTGACCAAGGAGCCCTCAAGCGGCCCTTATGCGAGCGTGACAGAAGGTTCACCTCTTGCCTTCTAGGTCACTTCTCACAATGTCCCTTCAGCACCTGACCCTATACCCGCCGGTTATTCCTAGGTTATATTAGTAATGCAACAAACAGTAATATTAAAAGCTAATGATTAATAATGTCTATAATAATGATTGATAATTGTCCATGATCATCTCTATATCTAATTTGTATTATGACTATTCTTATTCTAACTATTTCTTTATTATACTGAAACAGTTTGTGCCTTCAGTCTCTTACCTTGGCACCTAGGTAATCTTTCGCCCACAACATGAGATGAGGGTTGTGGATTGAATGGAAAGGGGGAGGTGGAGCGAGCCTTTGGCAAGAGTGCGGTGGGAAAGCCAAGCTCTCACCATGGTCACAGACTCCACCGACTTTGACAAGCGCCGCAAGGCACACTATGACAAAGGGAAGTTTCTCAAGGCTCAGAAAAACCAGCCCTTGGAGAATGAAGAGGATGAGGATGACAATGGTGGTATTATCAGTATCAGCGGTGGCAGTCAAGGCGTGATGCTGGACCCAGAGCCCAGGCCTGTGCAGAGAGGCTTGGCAGGAGAACTAGCCAGAGGAGCCAAAGATGAGCCAGGCCTGGTCACCTGGAGGCACATCCTTGAAGCCGAGGGTTAGCGATGGCGGGGCTCCAGGGACTAGAGGGGGTTGTATTCCAGAGCCCGTTCCTCACTTCTCTACCACAGTCTGTCTTCCTCAGTGGCTATCAGCCCAAGACTCTGCTGCCTGACAGGGAGGTAATGCTGGGAAGTAACCCCAGGGAAGAAAGAGGGCAGCTGGAGGAAGGACCCCACTCAGGATAGTCCCCGGAGATTATTGGCTGTTGAGGAACAGAAAGTCTGATTGGGGGCTGATTTGTTGGCCAGGCCCAGTGGCTCACTTCTGTAATCCCAGCACTTTGGGAGGATTGCTTGAGGCCAGAAGTTCAAAACCAGCCTGGGCAACGTAGGGAGACCTCATCTCTACAAAAAAAGAAAAAGAAAAAAATTGTTTTTAATTAGCCAGGTGTGGTGGCGTGCACCTGTAGTCCAGGCTACTGGGGAGGCTAAGGTGGGAGGATAGCTTGAGCCCAGGAGTTTGAGGCTGCCGTGAGCGATGATGGCACTAACACATTCCAGCCTGGGTAACATAGCAAGATCTTGTCTCAAAAAATAAATAAAAAAATAAACAAAAGTCCGAGACAACCATGGGGGGAGGTGGAGCGGTCACTGAAGTTTTTCTAAAATGGGAAGGGTAAGAGAAGTCAGTGAGATGAGGATCTGGGGCCTGAGCTTCTCCCCTCTGGTGAGGGCCCACAACAGACACCTGGGAGGCATGGATACACCAGATGGCTAGAAGACTTGGATTCATTTGATTGATTCCTCAGATTCCTCCACCTACAGAAATCAGTCCCCCCAGCTGTGGCCACTATCATATTGGGGCAGGAGATTGCTCTGCAGCACAAGGAATATGATGGCAAAGGACTATACCTGAGGTCCTGCTCCCACCCAGAGCTTGTAGAGGACGTGGAAGATGAGCATCAGGATGGTGAGAACCTGGGCAGGCCAGCCTAGGGGGCAGGAGGGCTGGGAATGCACAGCCTGATGGGTACCCGAGCCCTGATCCCTGATTCTAGGCTCCACAAGCTTGACCTAGGTGATTGAGAACCCCGTAAGCACTGAAGTCCACCTACTGGACCACATGGGAGGCCCCTTTAGGGATCACAAGGCCACGGAGAGCTCCCTGATGGCAACAATGACAACATTGCAGCCTGTTGAGGGCACCAGGCCACCATCTCCCTGGGGCTGTCTCTTGGCAAGCTCCCATCTCCCAGCCCTCCAATTCTTTCAGGCCAGTACATCAGCAACAGGTGGAAGGAGAGGCCCTGAACAGCCTCAAGTCCAAGGTCCACATTGGACAGGCGAGGAACCAGGGAGACTCAGAGGCGGTTGGGACCCCCTCCAGCTTGGCACCACACACTGGCTCCATGCCTCCTCCTTCACTCCTCTGCCACACCACCCCACTCCAGGTATTTCTCTGTCCTCCAAAGACAGTGAGTCTCAAGTGGTGTCCAGCTGGTGGCTGGGGGGCTGAGCTGGCAAAGCCCAAGGAGTTCAGAGAGGGAGAGTGGAAGCAACCCCAACTCCTCAAGCCAGAACAAGCACAGCCTGGCACACTGAGCCTGGGCAGAGGCAAGGGGATGCATACACTGGCCAGGGAGGTAGAGGAGCTGAGTGGGGAGGTTCTAGGGGATCCAGAGTCACATGGACAAGATCTCATGCCTGCTACGAGAAAGCCATGAACTCAAACTCTTCTCTCCAGATGAAACCCTGGGACTTCAATGGACTCAAGAAAAGGAAAGCAAACAATGGAAAATGGGGCTGGTTGGGGGCGGAGTGGGGGCAACCTTCCCTTCATGACCACCCTATGAATAGAAATAAAGAGCAGAAGAGCAAGAGTCTGGGAGCTGTGAATCGGGTGCTCAGGCTGGGCCTGCTCAGTCGTTGAGGAGAGGGGAGGAGGAAGGGGAGTTCACACACAGGAACCATGAATATGACGGCAAAACGAAGAAAGCTGGGAGCAGTCCGGGGTACTGGACTCCACAGGAGCAGGCCCAAGCTGTAGCAGGATGACAATGACTGATGCAATTAATATAGTGAACCAGCTGGGCACAGTGGCTCACGCCTGTAATCCTAGCACTTTGGGAGGCCGAGGTGGGTGGATCACCTGAGGTCAGGAGGTCGAGACAAGTCTGACCAACAAGGTGAAACCCCGTCCCTACTGAAAATACAAAAAGTTAGCCGGGCATGATGGCAGGAGCCTGTAGTCCCAGCTACTCGGGAGGCTGAGACAGGAGAATTGCTTGAACCCAGGAGGCGGAGGTTGTAGTGAGCCGACATCGCGCCACTGCACTGCAGCCTGGGCGATGGAGGGAGACTCCGTCTCATAAATAAATAAATTTAGTGAACCATGAATTTACTGCTATCACCTTCTTCACTTCGTACAGCCCTGGAGGAAGGGGTTATCATTCCCATCTTCCAGATGAGAAAACTGAGGAATCAGAGAGCTCGTCCAGGGGCACATAACCTCTAAGTGACAGAGCCAGGATTTGAACCTAGATCTGCCAGGCCCCCAAGATAACCACGAAGAGAGAAAGAAACAGAGGCTAGAGCCCCAGGAGGAAGGAGCTGGCAGATCGTCTCTGAGGGTGGGGCTGTGGCTTCTCTGATCTCAGGCCCCCATCCTCCGCCCAGGCCCCGCCCCTGCCCCTCCCAGCACTGCCTGGAAGTGTGGGGTGAGAGCTCCTCCTAGGACACCCCTTTCCCCTTGGGGAAAGAATTGTGCCCCCAGGCCCTTCCCCGCGGAGGTCCCTCTCCTCCTTCCCCCTCATCTCCCCTTCCTGGGACAGAAAGTGCCTCCACCTGCATCCCCAGGGGCCCGGCCTCCAGGGCCCGCTGGCCCCACAGCAGGCAAGCTGAGATGACGGTCAAGCTGGATTTCGAGGAGTGTCTCAAGGACTCACCCCGTTTCCGGTAAGTGTGAACTGGTCTGGGGGGCTAAGGAGGGGAAAGTCTAACACCCCCAGCACACACACACCTTTCCCCAGGCCAGGTCTCCTTCCAGGGAGCAGGCCTCTAAGAGGCAGGAGCGAGCCTGTGGGCCAAAGTGGTACCCCAGCTGTGAAAGCAGGGTACTCCAATGCTCTCTGCCCCTGCATGCTCCTCCTGGCCTCTGCAGTTTCCCTCACCCCTAGAGCTGGCATTCCCTCTGGCCTCTCAGTGGGACCCCTGCCCCTCCCCCAGCACCTGCTCTGGGGCGGTTAGCAACTTCCTGCCCTGGCCACATCCACCCTCCTTCTACCCTTCCTGCTCTGGCCTGGGCTGTGGTAGCTCCCAGACTGCAGAGCGGGCAGAGCACAAGTAGGTGGGTGGGGGGCGAGCCTCTCAACTCTGCAGCTTTCTCCTCCGTACCCACCGCCCTGCGACTCCATCCCGCCTGATGAGGCAGACAGACCAGATGGACCCAAGCTCTCTTCCCATGACCCCCTCTTTCCCAGAGCCTCTATTGAGCTGGTGGAAGCCGAAGTGTCAGAATTGGAGACCCGTCTGGAAAAGGTGACCCTGACATGGAGAGGTGACCCAGGAGTGGATTAGGTTGAGAGGGGTAGGGCCAGGGAGAAAGCTGGAGACACAGAATGCATCCCAGGGATTATTGAATACTGTGTAGGGGAGATATTTTGGAGACTGCAGAGAAGCAAAAAAGGTGGTTCTGTACCGACAAGAAGCTCAGGATCTTGGAAAACAAGACTTACTTTTGGGCCAGGCATGGTAGCTCATGCCTGTAATCCCAGCACTTTGGGAGGCCAAGGTGAATGGATCACCTGAGGTCAGGAGTTCTAGACCAGCCTGGCTAACATGGCGAAACCCCATCTCTACTAAAAATGCAAAAATCATCCAGGCTTAGTGGCACCCATCTGTAGCTCCAGCTACTCAAGAGGCTGAGGCAGAGGAATCACTTGAACCTGGGAGGCGGAGGTTGCAGTGAGCCAAGATCGCACCACTGCACTCCAGGCTAGGCGACAGAGCGAGACTCTGTGTCAAAAAAAAAAAGACTTAATTTTGGACTTCCTTGTTCTGCTCTTGAGCTCCTGCATTGTGCCAGGCCCTGGGCATTCAGGGAGGACAAGATCATTTCTGCTCCCACGGAGCCCAAAGGCTGACTAGAAGACAAACCAGTGAAACGTTTCAATTCAAGACAGTAAGGTGTCCCCTGAGCACTCTATCAAACAGCATGTTCACACAAATACACACTCAAATGCTCTCTCATTCCCCTTACTTCGCTTTACTTTTCTCTGCAACATTTACCTCTGACACATTATGTATTTGCTTGCTATATATTAGTTCTCTATTGCTGTGTAACAAATTGTCACAAATTTAGTGGGCAACATTGTTTTATGGGCAACATGGTGAGACCTCATCTCTACAAATAATAATTTTATTTTTATTTTTATTTATTTGAGATGGAGTCTCGCTCTGTCACCCAGGCTGGAGTGCAGTGGTGCGATCTCGGCTTACTGGAACCTCCACCTCCCAGGTTCAAGTGATTCTCCTACCTCAGCCTCCCAAGTAGCTGGGATTACAGGTGTGCACCACCACACCTGGATAATTTTTTTTCTTTTTGTATTTTTAGTAAAGACAGGGTCTCACCATGTTGGCTAAGCTGGTCTTGAACTCCTGACCTCAAATGATCTACCTGCCGCAGCCTCCCAAAGTGCTGGCATTACAGGCTTAAGCCACCGCACCCGGCCTACAAATAATAATTTTAAACAATGGACTGGATGGAGTGGCCACAGCTGTGATCCCAGATGCTTCAATACTGGGCTCAAGTGATCCTCCCTCCTCAACCTCCCCAGTAGCTGTGCTACAGGCACATGCCACCACGCCTGGCTTTTTTAAATTTAAATTTATTTTTTGTAGAGATGGGGTCTCCCTATGTTACCTAGGCTGGTCTGGAACTCCTGGCCTCAAGTAATCCTCCCACCTCAGCCTCCCAAAGTGCTGGAATTACAGGTGTGAGCCACCACACCTGGCCTGAATTTTTTATTTTGAGTAAATTATTGACTCAGGAGACTAGTGAGGAGAGGTCTCATGTACCCATCACCCAGCTTCCCCCAGTGGTGACATCTTATACAATACTAGTACATTATTAAAACCAGGACATTAATAGTGTCACATTACAATTAACAATAAACTCGGCCAGGTGTGGTGGCTCACGCCTGTAATCCCAGCACTTTGGGAGGCCAAGGTGGGCGGATCACGAGGTCAGGAGATCGAAACCATCCTGGCTAACACTGTGAAACCCCGTCTCTACTAAAAATACAAAAAATTATTCGGGTGTGGCGGCAGGCGCCTGTAGTCCCAGCTACTCAGGAGGCTGAGGCAGGAGAATGGCGCGAACCCGGGAGGTGGAGCTTGCAGTGAGTGGAGGTCGTGCCACTGCACTCCAGCCTGGGCGACAGAGTGAGACTGTCTCAATAAACAAAAACAAACAAACAAAAAACCCCAATAAACTCTAGCCAAGCTCAGTGGCTCACGCCTGTAATCCCAGCACTTTGGTAGGCTGCGGCAGGTGGATCACGAGGTCAGGACTTCGAGAACAGCCTGACCAACATGATGAAACCCCCATCTCTACTAAAAATACAAAAATTAGCCAGGCGTGGTGGCACGCACCTGTAATCCCAGCTACTCAGGAGGCTGAGGCAGGAGAATTGCTTGAACCCAGGAGGCGGAGGTTGCAGTGAGCCGAGATCACGCCACCACACTCCAGCCTGCGGAGGTCGCAATGAGCCGAGATCGTGCCACTGCACTCCGGCGTGGGCGACAGACCAAGACTCTGTCTCTAAATAAATAAATAAACTCTATAGATCCTACTTTGATTTTACATTTTGCATATACTCTTTTTTGGTGTTTTTGTGTATAATTCTATGGTACTTTATCACGTGTATGGATTCCTTTAACCATCACCACACACCAATGGACACAAGGAATTCCTTTACAGTGGTACCCGACACCCTTCCCACACTTCTTTAATCTGTGGTAACCGCTGATTTGTTCTCCATCTCTCTACTTTTGTCATTTCCAGAATGTTCCATATATAGAATCATACACTATGTGACCCTTTGAGATTTGGCTTCCCCCTCCCCCCTCACTCAGAATAATGCTGCTGCCGGGTGTGGTCGCTCATGCCTGTCATCCCAACTACTCAGGAGGTCAAGGTAGGAGGGTTGCTTGAGGCCAGAAGCTCGAGACCAGCCTGGGCAACATAGCAAGACCCTTGTCTCTAAATAATGTTCTGTTTTGTTTTTAAATTAGCCAGGCATGGTGGTGTGTGCCTGTAGTCTCAGCTACTCAGGAAGCTAAGATTGGAGGATCCCTTGAACCCAGGAGTTCAAGGCTGCAGTGAGCTATGATCCCACCACTGCACTCCAGCCTGGGCGACAGAGACCTCAACTCTAAAAATAATCATAATTTTTTAAAAGATGAATGCTCTTGAAGTTTATCCAAGTTGTTGCACATATCAACAGTTTGTTCCTTTTTATTGCTGAGTACTGTTCTATTGAACAGATGTCCCAGTCTGTCACTAGTCCAGTGTTATGAAAGTTTCTTACTCATCTAAGGGGGAGGGGCTGAGATGGTAAGGAAAAAAACTAGACACAGAGTCCTCAGATTCACACAGTGATTTGTGAACATCCTTGTACCTTGTCACAGACAACCCATGGTGATGTCTGATAAGATTTGATCTCGGTCAGGCCAGGTGCAGTGGCTCATGCCTGTAATCCCAGCACTTCGGGAGGCCGAAGCAGGTGGATCACCTGAAGTCAGGAGTTCGAGACCAGCCTGGTCAACATGGTGAAACCCCGTCTCTACTAAAAATACAAAAAATTAGCTGGGCGTGGTGGCGGGCACCTGTAATCCCAGCTACTCTGGAGGCTGAGGCAGGAGGATCGCTTGAACCTGGGAGGTGGAGGTTGTGGTGAGCCAAGATCATGCCATTGCACTCCAGCTTGGGCAACGGAGCAAAACTCCGTCTCAAAAATAGAAAAATAAAAAGAGATGGGGTTTCACTATGTTGGTCAGGCTGATATCCAACTCCTGACCTCAGGTGATCCACCCACCTCAGCCTCCCAAAGTGTTGAGATTACAGGTCTGAGCCACCTTGCCTGGCCTATCAAGTCTCTTTGTCAGTCAAAAGAGCCAGATAGGATGGGCCCCAGGAGTACCCCGGCATTTCCTCTTGGCCCTGACCCGTGGTCTAGATGATGGATTAATATTTATGAGGGAACGTGCAGTGAGCACAGAATGGGACAACTCCTAGCAGTAAATACTATAGATTTTATTTATTTATTTATTTTTCGAGACAGAGTCTCGGTCTGTCACCCAGGCTGGAGTGCAGTAGCGCCATCTCGGCTCACTGCAGCCTTGACCTCCCGGATTCAGGCAGTCCTCCTGCCTTAGCCCCCCAGGTAACTGGGATTATAGGCACTTGGTGCCATCTCAGCTCACTACAGCCTCAGCCTCCCGGGTTCAAGCAGTCCTCCTGCCTTAGCCTCCCAAGTAGCTGGGATTACAGGCATGTGCCACCATGCCTGGCTAATTTTTGAATTTTTAGTAGAGATGAGGTTTCACCATGTTGCCCAGGCTGCTCTTGAATTCCTGAGCTCAAGCGACTGGCCCGCCTTGGCCTCCCAAAGGGTTGGGATTACAGGTGTGAGCCACCACGCCCGGCCAATACTGTAGAATTTAATAGCAACCAGGTAGAGCATCCAGACCATGCAGGAATCTCCACGGAGCTCTGGATCTAAGCAGGTAGGCAGGGCAGGAAGAGATATGTGCGAGTGGACAGGGAAAGATGTTTTGGAGGTAAGGCTGACAGAGGTGTTGGCGACAGGCTGAGAGGAATGGGCAGGAATTGGGTTTCAGGCCCAAGGCAGTGGGAGCAAAGACGCAGCGATAAGAACACAGCAGGTATGTGTTAGATACAGGGAGAGCTGGATGAGCCTGGAGGGCAGTGAGGCCAGGCAGGAATAGGGGAGCGCCGCCCTGGGCAAGGGGAGAGGAAGTGGGGCAGGTGTGGGGGCATCACCAGGTGTGAGGATGATGGCACAGCTCCCTGTTACCCTCCTTCTTTCCCAGCTCCTGAAACTGGGCACTGGTCTCCTGGAAAGTGGGCGCCATTACCTTGCTGCCAGCCGCGCCTTCGTTGTCGGCATTTGTGACCTGGCCCGCCTGGGTCCACCAGAGCCCATGATGGCGGTATGCGGAGGGTCTGCATCTGGGAGGGAAGGGGTCTGGGATGAGGAGGTGATGCTGTGGAAGAGGAGGGCTGGCCTGGGGTCTGCAGGTTCCAGGCCACAGCAGGGCTGGGCTGCTGTCCATGACAGCCGTAGCAGGCTGGGTCTCGAGTCGGGAGGGTGCTGCCACCCCATGCCTGGTACTCTTTCTGTGCCTCTTCTTGCCTAGGAGTGTCTGGAAAAATTCACCGTGAGCCTGAACCACAAGCTGGACAGCCATGCGGTAAGTAGGGGAAGGTAAGGATTGTCGGGGTGGTGGCCAGGTCACCTGTGGTCCTGACCCCAGTCTACCAACTTCTCCTTCCCTCAGGAGCTTCTAGATGCCACCCAACACACACTGCAGCAGCAGATCCAGACCCTGGTCAAGGAGTGAGATGGGGCCGGGCGCAGTGGCTCATGCCTGTAATCCCAACACTTTGGAAGGCCAAGGCGGGAGGATTGCTTGAGCCCAGGAGTTGGACACCAACCTAGCCAACATGGCGAAACTGTCTCCACAAAAAATACAAAAATTAGGCCGGGCACGGTGGCTCATGCCTATGATCCCGGCATTTTGGGAGGCCAAGGCGGGCGGATCACCTGAGGTCGGGAGTTCGAGACCAGCCTGTCTAACATGGCAAAACCCCAGCTCTACTAAAAAATACGAAAAAAAAAAATTAGCCGGGCATGGTGGCAGGTGCCTGTAATCCCAGCTACTCAGGAGGCCGAGGCAGGAGAATCATTTGAACCCAGGAGGTGGAGGTTGCAGTGAGCCAAGATCGCACTACTTCACTTCAGCCTGGGCAACAGAGTGAGACTCTGCCTCAAAAAAAAAAAAAAAAAAAAAAAAATAGCCGGGCGTGGTGGCACATGTCTGTTGTCCCAGCTTCTTGGGAGGCTGAGGCAGGAGAATTGCTTGAGCCTGGAGGTCAGGGCTGCGGTGAGCCATGATTGTGCCACTGTACTCCAGCCTGGGTAACAGAGCAAGACCCGGTCTCAAAAACAAAAACAACAACAACAACAAAAATTTTTTAAAGGGGGAGTGAGATGGGAGAGAAGGGGGCCTTATTTCTCGGAAACCAGCCCTGCTGCCCTCTTCCCATGGCCACAGGAGCCTCCCCAGTGACGGAGTTGTGAGATTGGGGGTTTCTGGTGTCCTGACTTCCGTCCCAGGGATCACCTTGGGTTTCCCACGTTGCAGAGACTAACTGAAAGGACATGAGGGCTTTACCCTGGGAATGCTCTGCTGGGGCAGGTGGGTGTTAGCTGCGATTCTGTGTTATTTTCCCATCCTCAGAGGTCTGCGGGGTTTCCGAGAGGCTCGCCGGGATTTCTGGCGGGGGGCTGAGAGCCTGGAGGCTGCCCTGACCCACAACGCAGAGGTTCCCAGGCGCCGGGCCCAGGAGGCAGAAGAGGCAGGAGCTGCTTTGAGGACGGCTCGAGCTGGGTACCGGGGACGGGCACTGGATTATGCCCTGCAGGTGCCTGCCCCAATCTGTCTTCCTGGGGTACCAGAGCCTCAAGTGTCACCTCGAGGCTTGGGGGTCTCCAGTGTGCAGTGGGAAGGGGTGCTGTGTCTTCAAGACTGATCTGGGGTTTTTTACGTCCTCTTTTACGTCCTCAGATCAACGTGATTGAGGACAAGAGGAAGTTTGACATCATGGAGTTTGTGAGTTGTGGCGGGGGTGAGGGCAGGGTGGAGAAGAGCCTGCTGCCAGCACAAGGGAATGGGGAGAGGGGTTCTTCCTCAGCCTTCCCACTGCCCGCCTTGTCCCCCAGGTGCTGCGTTTGGTGGAGGCCCAGGCTACCCATTTCCAGCAGGGCCATGAGGAGCTGAGCCGGCTGTCCCAGTATCGAAAGGAGCTGGGCGCCCAGGTGGGGCCCCAGGGCACAGCAGGTGGTAGAGGGAGGTTAGGGACTCCTAACTGGGGGGCCTTGGACATCTGAGATGCCCTTCCTGTGCCCAGTTGCACCAGCTGGTCTTGAATTCAGCACGAGAGAAGAGGGACATGGAGCAGAGACACGTGCTGCTGAAACAGAAGGTGAGGGGCCAGGTGCGGTGGCCCACGACCGTCATCCCAACATGTTGGGAGGCTGAGGTGGGAAGATTGCTTGAGGCCTGGAGTTCAAGATTAGCCTAGGCATCGTAGTGAAACTCCATCTCTACAGAAAATTTTAAAATTAGCTGGTGTGGTGGCATGCACCTCTAGTTCTAGCTACTCAGGAGGCTGAGGTGGGAGGATTGCTTGAGCCCAGGAGTTCAAGACTGCAGTGAGCTATGATCACACAACTGCACTTAAGCCTGGGTGAAAGAACAAGACCCTGTCTCTAAAAATAAATTTTAAAAAGTATTTCAAAAAGCAGAAAGTAAGGGCTAGGGCTGTGGGCAGGAGGCAGATGCCTATGGCCTTGGTGTCTGCCCATCTCAGTTGCCCTTTGATCCTCTTGTGCCTCCAGGAGCTGGGTGGGGAGGAGCCAGAACCAAGCTTAAGAGAGGGGCCTGGTGGCCTGGTGATGGAAGGACATCTCTTCAAACGGGCCAGCAACGCATTTAAGACCTGGAGCAGGTGAGGAGAGGACACCCCCAATCAGCCCGCCCCACCCAATGATGTATTTTCGAGTGGTAATAGCACACTAAGCACTGCAAGGAAAAACAGACGAACCCCCCTGCCTCAGTAGAGTTTCATTCCATCAGCAAAGACAGAGGATAAACCTAGTATGTAAATTACGTGCTATGTTAGAAGGTGATAGTGCTTGCTATAGGAGAAAGATGATAAAGCAAGGGATGTGGGGAGCTGGGTAGGGGTTACAGTTCTAAATAGTTGGGCAGTGTGGGCTTCATGAGAAGGTAACTTTTGAACAAAGACTTGAAGGATATCTGGGGGAAGAAAGTTCTAGACAGAAGAAAGAGCCAGTGCCAAGGCCCTGAGATAGCTGGGGAGTTGGAAGAGCAGGGTGGTGGCCCTGGGTCTGGACAGAGTGAGGGAGGAGGATGTGCAGGAGATGAAATCGGAGCTAATGGGGGCATGAGTCATTATAGGGCCCTATAGATTTTTGTAGGGATTTGGGGTCTACTCTGAGAGCAATTGGGAGCCGCTATAGGGTTTGGAACAGGATGGTGGCATGCTGTGACTTGACTCCTTTCCCTTCTAGGGCCACTGCTAGCCCACATGGGATCTCTGTACAAATTAGAAAATGGAGCTGCTTCCCCAAGATACTCTTTTTTCTTTTTCTTTTCTTTTTTTTTTTCTGTTTTTTTTGAGATGGGGTGTCACTCTGTTGCCCAGCCTGCAGTGCAGTGGCGCAGTCTCGGCTCACTGCAACCTCTATCCCCTGAGTTCAAGTGATCCTCCCTCCTCAGCATCCTAAATAGCTGGGACCACAGGCGTGTGCCATCACGCTCGGCTAATTTTTGTATTTTTGGTAGAAACAGGGTTTCACCATGTTGCCCAGGCTGGTTGCAAACTCCTGACATCAAGCAATCCACCCGCCTCGGCCTCCCAACTTGCTGGGATTACAGGCGTGAGCCACTGTACCTGGCCCCCAAGATTCTTTCTTTTCTTTTTTTCTTTTTCTTTTTTTTTCTTTTTTGATGGAGCCTCGCTATGTTGCGCAGGCTGCAGCACAGTGGTGCGATCTCAGCTCACTGCAACCTCAGCTTCCTGGGTTCAAGCGATTCTCCTGCCTCAGCCTCCCAAGTAGGTGGGATTATAGCCGCCTGCCACCACGCCTGGCTAATTTTTGTATTTTTAGTAGAGACGGAGTTTCACCATATTGGTCAGGGTGGTCTCAAACTCCTGACCTCGGGTGATCCACCACCCCCATCAGCCTCCCAAAGTGCTGGGATTACAGGTGTGAGCCCAGCCTAAATAGTATTTTTTAAATTGTAGCAATAGACATTTTATTAGAAAAAGAATTTTACTGCCATCTGCTGGAAAGTTGTCTTCATAACTATATGAAATCTGGGTTGTCCAAGATAGGAATAGCATCCTTTAGATGTTCCAATCTGCACAATTGTCCACCCTTCTCTGGAATGTCTCGTGGAACAGTCAGCCCAGGTGTCTGTCCTCTCAGTAAGATCCTCATGGGCAAAAAGCACAGCCTCTCTTCCGTCCCTCATCCTAAAGCTGCCTATGTCTGTAATGATTTCCTTCTCTTACAGACGCTGGTTCACCATTCAGAGCAACCAACTGGTTTACCAGAAGAAGTACAAGGTGAGTGGACCTGGGTCCTGGATGCCTGGGCCCCAGGGAGACTCAGCTCTTGCCTGCAGCTGGACATCTGGCCCCTTATCACCTTATCCTGCCAGGACCCTGTGACTGTGGTGGTGGATGACCTTCGTCTCTGCACAGTGAAACTCTGCCCTGACTCAGAAAGGCGGTTCTGCTTTGAGGTGGTGTCCACCAGCAAGTGAGTGCAATCCCCAGGGGTGATACTCTAATATATCTAAACAACTGCCAATCTGAAAGGCAGGGCCCACCACAATGGAGGCCCCCCATGCAGCTCCAGACTTTAATTTAATTCTTTGGCGGCTGGACTGGGGGGCCATTGTGGAAGAGGGTACAGGGTGATGGGGGATATTTAGGAGAATATTACCAACTGGTACAGAAGTCTTTCAATGCAACTGGAACTGGTTGAATACTGGCTGAATGTCAGTCTGCCCATGCTGCCACTTTGCTTCCCAGGCCTCAGACCCCTCTGCCATCTCCCTCACCCTCCTACCTAGGTCCTGCCTCCTCCAGGCTGACTCAGAGCGCCTCCTGCAGCTGTGGGTCAGTGCTGTGCAGAGCAGCATTGCTTCTGCCTTCAGTCAGGCTCGCCTTGATGACAGCCCCCGGGGTCCAGGCCAGGTACCTTAACCTGGGGGTGCGGAGCCAGGCTGCCTGTGGAGATGGGGCACCCTTTACCCTAGGCCCCTTGGCCACCCTTTCTTCCCCTCTCTCCCCCAGGGCTCAGGACACCTGGCCATAGGCTCTGCTGCCACCCTGGGCTCTGGTGGAATGGCCAGGGGAAGGGAGCCTGGGGGAGTCGGGCACGTGGTGGCCCAGGTCCAGAGTGTGGATGGCAATGCCCAGTGCTGCGACTGCCGGGAGCCAGCCCCGGAGTGGGCCAGCATCAACCTTGGTGTCACCCTCTGCATTCAGTGTTCCGGCATCCACAGGTTACTCCACAAGGCCCATGCGGGAGCCCCACTCCTTCGGGCCACAGTGCGGCTCCAATACAGAGCGCATCACACCGGCCCCTCTTCCTTCCCTGTCCTGGCTTCCTCTCTTAGCTTCTGGCTTTGTCACTGGGTACCAGGCCTGGGCCCAAGCCTCTGGGGTGCCAGTTGGACCCAGGCGGGCCTAGCCCCTCTGTGTCCTAGTCTGGCCAGAATTGGGGGATACCCAGAATTTGTTGGCTTGGTTGGAAGAAGTGTGGGGTCAAGGCTGCTGAGGGTGGGGGAGCCAGTGAAGACTAGGCAGAGAAACGGTCATGAGGCCTTAGCAAGTATCTAAGGCCCTCGCCCCCCACCTCAGTGTGGTGGAAGGGAGGTGACATGGGAGAGGTTGTCCAGGCCAAAGTGTCACAAGTGTCACTAGAGAAGGGAGGTGGCTGGAGTGATGAGGGCCTTGAAATGAAACCTAAGGAAGAAGGAATGGTGACGAGGCAGAGTCCTGCCAGGGCCAGGTCAAGGCTACATGGCGGTTACATGGCCGCAGCTGCCCTGCCTCCTGGGCCAGCACCTCTGCACGGGCCCCCATGCCAGCCTTGCCTCCCAGTGTCTTCAGGAGCAGCAGCAGCTCCCCAGGCCACTGCCCCCCTGCACAGGGCCTGACCCTCCCCCTCTGGCCCTCCAGGAGCCTTGGTGTTCACTTCTCCAAAGTCCGGTCTCTGACCCTTGACTCATGGGAGCCAGAACTAGTGAAGGTAACTTAGCGTATTGTGAAGATTGGGGGCAAGAACTTGGGGTGGGGCAAGGACATGGCGGTGCAGGGGCGTGATCCCTGAGGAGTCACTCACCCCCACCTTCCCTGTCTCTGCCTCTGCCTGGGCCTCCTGAAGCTCATGTGTGAGCTGGGAAATGTCATCATCAACCAGATCTATGAGGCCCGCGTGGAGGCCATGGCAGTGAAGAAACCAGGGCCCAGCTGCTCCCGGTGAGCTTGGGGTTTAGCCTCCCAGGGGAATGGGGGACCCCTGGAGCAGAAGAGGGAAGACTGCGTGCTTCTCCCCTCCCACAGGCAGGAGAAGGAGGCCTGGATTCACGCTAAATACGTGGAGAAGAAGTTCCTGACCAAGCTGCCTGAGATTCGAGGGCGAAGAGGTGGCCGGGGGCGCCCAAGGGGGCAGCCTCCTGTGCCCCCAAAGCCTTCCATCAGGCCCCGGCCAGGGAGCTTGAGATCCAAGCCAGGTATAGGGTTGGTTGGGCATTCATTGAGCATCTGCTGTGTGCTCGGCATCGTGCCAGGTAGCGCCGGGAGGCACAGAGTGTGAAGCCCAGGCCTTCCGCTGGACAATGTCGGAGGGACCGGACTGCCGTTTCAGGGGTTACGGTGGAGTGTGACATTAAGAATGAGAAGGAATGTGGGGCTGGGCGTGGGCAGGGAGGGTAAGGGGTGCCAACAGCACAAGAAAAGGAGAGAGAGAGGGGGTGGGTTTGGCTGGAGCGTCAGGGGTTGAGAGCTGAGGCCAAGTGTGGTTGGACCAGATGAGGTGATGATGCCGTCTCTCCCCCACACCCTAGGGACTCGTACACATGCATACGCATACTTACACATACCCACACTTGCATCACTCTATTCCCTCCACAGTCCCAAGCTCCCCATCATTTAGAAGAGACCTGTCCCATTATAGCATTGGGACACTGCTGAGGGTTTTCTTCCCAGACTCGGAGCTGCTTCCCCCTAACAGAACCAAATCCCCCGAACAGAGCCCCCCTCTGAGGACCTGGGAAGCCTGCACCCTGGGGCCCTACTGTTTCGAGCGTCTGGGCATCCTCCATCTCTTCCCACCATGGCTGATGCCCTTGCCCATGGAGCTGATGTCAACTGGGTCAATGGGGGCCAAGATAATGCCACACCGCTGATCCAGGCCACAGCTGCTGTAAGAGCCCTGCTGACCTCTCCACCCCACCCTAGGGCTCTGACACCTACTCCTGACTCTGGGCCCTGCCCTTACCTCCTTTCCCCACCACCTGTTCCCTAGGGCTTCCACCCATAGGGAGAGATCAACAATAGAGACTGGTTGCTAAGAGTGTGTGATTTGGAGGCAGAGAACCTGAGTTTGAACCCAGGCTCTCACCTCTTACAGGAGACTTTTTTTTTTTTTTTTGAGACAGTCTCGCTCTGTCCCCCAGGCTGGAGTGCAATGGTGCGATCTCGGCTCACTGCAAGCTCCGCCTCCCGGGTTCACACCATTCTCCTGCCTCAGCTGCCTGAGTAGCTGGGACTACAGGCGCCAGCCAGCATGCCCGGCTAATTTTTTGTATTGTTAGTAGAGATAGGGTTTCACCGTGTTAGCCAGGATGGTCTGGATCTCCTGACCTTGTGATCCACCCGCCTCGGCCTCCCAAAGTGCTGGGATTACTGGCGTGAGCCACTGTGCCCGGCCTACAGGAGACTTTTAACAAGTTATTAACCTCTCAGCCTCATCTGTAAAATAGTAACATACCTCAAAAGCTTGTACTATGGATTTATATATGAATACATGCAAAGAGCTAGAGCCAAGCCTAGCTTGGTTACAGTTAGCTGTAACCCCTTCCACACTCCTGATTACCACACTCCACCCTCCCATTCTCTGAACTGGCGCCACCCTAAGACATCTTGAAATCCACCACTAGGGATGCCACCCTCAACCCCCCTTCTCGACTTCTCCATGCAGAATTCTCTTCTGGCCTGTGAGTTTCTCCTCCAGAACGGGGCGAACGTGAACCAAGCGGACAGTGCGGGCCGGGGCCCGCTGCACCACGCAACCATTCTTGGCCACACGGGGTAGGGATGATGGCATGGGGAGGAAGGCTGGGAGAAGTTGGGCGGCCGGCTGACCCTGGCTCTTCTCTCCAGGCTCGCCTGCCTGTTCCTGAAACGGGGAGCTGATCTGGGGGCTCGAGACTCTGAAGGCAGGGACCCTCTGACCATCGCCATGGAAACAGCCAACGCTGACATCGTCACCCTGTAAGAATGCCTGAAGGGGCGGGGCTGGCGCTGGGACTCCCCCCACCCCCGCCCACCCACGTTCGGGCGGGCGGGCGGGGCTGACGCCGAAACAGAAGCCTGTGCTGTGGGGCCTCGGAAAGGGGCTGGGCCAGCGCCGGGGCCAGGCTCGAGAAAGGCTGCGCGAAGTGTGCACTGGGACGTGGAGTAGAAGGCAGGCGGGAGGGCGGGCAGGGTGCAAGGATGCTTGGCCCACCCTGAGAGGCGTAATTCGCCCATCAACATTGCTGTCAGGCATCTTTTTAGCACTAGACGTGACCCCGGGGGTGGGGGCAGATGAACGGAACGCAACCCAGCTCAAAGGATGGGAAGTTGTGGGGGAGGTGAGGATAGTCTTTTTTTTTTTTTTTGAGACGGAGTCTCACTCTGTCGCCCAGGCTAGAGTGCAGGGGCGCGATCTCGGCTCACTGCAACCCCCGCCTCCCGGGTTCAAGCGATTCTCCTGTCTCAGCCTCCCCTGAGTAGCTGGGACTACAGGCGTGCGCCACCACCCCCGGCTAATTTTTTGTATTTTTAGTAGAGACGGGGTTTCACCATGTTGGCCAGGACGGTCTCGATCTCCTGACCTCGTGATCCGCCTGCCTCGGCCTCCCAAAGTGTTGGGATTACAGGCGTGAGCCACCGCGCCCGGCCAAAGATAGTGTCGTTCATTTCTTAATTCCCTCCTCTTCAGGCTACGACTGGCAAAGATGAGGGAGGCTGAAGCGGCCCAGGGGCAGGCAGGTAAAGAATACACCCACCCCACCCCCCAGGCCCAACACCTGAACTCTGGGCTTCTGGTCCACGGTGACCTCTCTCCCTAGTGCCCAGCTGCATTCATTCCGTTATTTAACAAATGCGTATTGGGCGCATGCGACGTGCCAGGCCCTGGCAAGGCATAGGTGCTGGCGCAGTGCCCGCGGCGCGCACGTTCCCACCCAGGCTCGGAGCGCGAGGTCCCCAGGTGGGCCCCAACCGCCGGATCCTGCCCTTCTGCACTGGGGCCCAGCCGCCTCCCGGCCTTTCCTCCCTCCCCCAGGAGATGAGACGTATCTTGACATCTTCCGCGACTTCTCCCTCATGGCGTCAGACGACCCGGAGAAGCTGAGCCGTCGCAGTCATGACCTCCACACGCTGTGACCCGAGGCCCACGGGGCCCGCGCCTGCCTCCCTTCCCCGCCACCGGGCCCTCTGCCATTAAAGCCTCCGTGCTTCGCTCTTCCCTTCTGGTTCACTTCTTGGGCGCCACCTTCGGGCCCGTAGGGTGTTGGGCGCTGCGGCTCCCGAGGTGCGGGGAGCAGCTGGGGGTTTGCGAGCTCCAGTCCAGCAAGGTGCGACTCCGGGGAGCGAGGCGGCAGCTTCGGCCGCGGCCTGAGCGCAGGGCGCTGCGGGGCGGGGGCTCTCGGGCTGGGGCGACGTGGCCAGCCCAGTCCTGCCGAGGGGTGGGGCTGGCCCTGGGGCTCGCTGGCCCCGCGCCGCCGCGGAGAGAGCGCGCCCGGGCCACCCCGGCTGGAAGGCATCCCCGGAATGCGGCGGCTCAGCACCCGCCCCCTCGGGAATTCCCCGGGGGAGCCGCTGGGAGGGACTCGGCTCCCGGGCTGGGCCGGCCGGGCCTCGGGCTCTGAGCGGTGGGATTAGAGGCTCCAGCCCCGCCGACTTGCAGACGTGAGATCGGGCACACCTGAGCGGCGGCGGGGCGGTCGTGGCCACATCCGGGGCGACGTGCCTGAGTCACCCCGTCCCGCCAGCGTCTGCCAGTCCAGCCAGTCCGCCCAGTCTCTCGCGTCCGAGACTCGCCTCCAGCCTCCCACCTCCGCCCGGGCCGCGCGAGCCTCGCGGGGGCGGGGGCGGGGCGCCAAGGGGCGGGGCTGTCTCTTAAAGGGCCCCGGGCCGCTGCCCTTAGGCCACTTCCTGGGGGCGGAGAGGACCTCAGCGGCTGCGGCGACACCCAGGGAAGGCGGCGCGGCCGGGTCCCGAAACTCCTGGCTGTTTCCATCAGAGCCCTCGGACACTCCCAGCCCGGGCTGAGCACGCATCGTCGCTCCCCGGCGGATACAAGGGGGCTCCGCCATCCGCTCCCGTCAGTTCGGCCTCCATCTCCTGGGACCCGCGCCGGCAGCCAGGCCAGGCCTCTGAGTGGCCCCAGAGCCCTGGCTGGACTCGTCCACGGCGGCAGCGATCTGCCCGGGGTCTCGGAGGCCATCCCTTCAGAGTCGGCCCTGTGCTCGCCACCGTCACCTGCTGGTTGGATTCCGGAAACCCACTGTCTGAAGACCACAGAGGGGTGTCGCTGACCACCCCAAATCGGATACGTCCAGACCTCAAGCTCCCTTCCCCTCTCTGGCTGCCCTCTGCTCTTTTCATCTCTTCTCTCAACCTTTTGGGGATTTCTGTGTCCTGACACCACCTCCCCATCCACCACCAAAGTAGCCGGGGTGAGCCCCAAACCTTACTGGGTGTGCTCCACCTGTGCCTCCAACCCAGCGAATCTGACAGCTTCGACCCAATTCTGCACACACCCAGGAAGTTCTGCCTTTTCTTTTCTTTCGGTGTCTCCTGTACTTCCCAAAATTTCTCCTCCTCCTGTGCCCTCTTCGCCCCCCTCCTTTGGGGGCCCCGTGACCCTGAATGTGGGGGGCACACTATATTCCACCACTTTGGAGACCCTGACCCGCTTCCCAGACTCTATGCTGGGGGCCATGTTTAGGGCCGGCACCCCCATGCCCCCCAACCTCAATTCCCAAGGAGGCGGCCACTACTTCATCGACCGGGATGGCAAGGCCTTCCGGCACATCCTCAATTTCCTGAGGCTGGGCCGCCTGGACCTGCCCCGTGGGTACGGAGAGACAGCGCTGCTCAGGGCAGAGGCTGACTTCTACCAGATCCGGCCCCTCCTGGACGCGCTGCGGGAACTGGAGGCCTCTCAGGGGACCCCTGCACCCACAGCTGCCCTGCTCCACGCAGATGTAGATGTCAGCCCCCGCCTGGTGCACTTCTCTGCTCGCCGGGGACCCCATCACTATGAGCTGAGCTCCGTCCAGGTGGACACCTTCCGAGCCAACCTTTTCTGCACCGACTCTGAGTGTCTAGGTGCTTTGCGGGCCCGATTTGGTGTGGCCAGTGGGGATAGGGCAGAGGGGAGCCCACATTTTCATCTGGAGTGGGCCCCCCGCCCCGTGGAACTCCCCGAGGTGGAGTATGGGAGACTGGGGCTGCAGCCGCTGTGGACTGGGGGGCCAGGAGAGCGGCGGGAGGTGGTGGGCACCCCAAGCTTCCTGGAGGAGGTGCTGCGGGTGGCTCTCGAGCACGGCTTCCGACTAGACTCTGTCTTCCCCGACCCCGAAGACCTGCTCAACTCCAGGTCTCTGCGCTTTGTCCGGCACTGAGGATGCTGTTCTCAGTTTGACTGTGGGGAGGAGAGAGAATGGGGTACTAGCACCCCTGAAGCCTCTTTCCAGCTCTGCTTCAGGAGCTATGAGAGTCGGGACTCTCCTGCACCTGACTGGAGCTCAGATGTGGGCAGGAATTCCCAAACCTGAGCCCACCAAGGACTCACAAGTGGTCCAGAAGGTCTCAACCTGTGCTGACCCTGGGAGGGGTAGGGAAGGTTCTCTCAGCTTGTTCTTGCCTAAGGCTGAGCACCTCCAGTCTCTCCTTGATTTGGAGCTCAGTGTTTAAGGGCTTGGAAAAGGGGGGAACATCTCTTTACCCAGACTAGACCTAGCAAAACCCTGGAAGGATATTGAGGTCTGGGGAAAAGGGAGGACTTTGCATTTTCCCAATGCGGTCTCTTGGACCATGGCTTCTACTCCTGAAGCTGGGTGGCCTGGCCTGGCCTGACCAATGAGAGGCCAGAACACTCTGGAACATCGGAAGAGGAGTTCTTTGCTATGTTCCAAGCCATCTACTGAGGGAGGCAGAAAGGCCACAACCCACCCTAGGTTGATGTATGGGAGCTAGGACAGTCCCCATGGCAATGGGGCTGGAGCATCCCTCATCTGGAAGAATCCCATACTGATGGCAGGGCTGGCCAGGGGGAAGAGGGTAGTATCTGTGGGTCCTGGCCTTTCTTCATGTGTGCGTGCATATCAGCCCGTGTGGCTGACTGATGTATAGGTCCCTGGCATCCTGGTTCATATCTGTGTTGCTGACTACAGTGTCTGTGATGTCCGCATGTCCAGGCCTGTTTGGGGTTGCCTAGCGACTCTTCTGGCACAGGGTGTGTCTGTGGTATACCTGTGAGGTGGTTGACAATTAGTAGTTTAATCACAGGGTGTGTGTGTGTGTGTGTGTGTGTGTGTTTATGTGCACGCATGTATATGCATCACCACGTAGCCAGGAGGGGCCTGTTGGGGTTTGAGTCACTGGGATCTTCCTGGTGAGAGGTAAGAGAAGTCACTGGGCTTAGCTGGGCCTCTGAGGCCTGTATGGAACTCTTGGTTGCTGAGGCAACCATGGACCTGTTGCTAGGAGATAGCTGGGGAAGGCCCAAGGCCGCCCAGGGCAGAGAGAGGAGACGAAGAGTTTGGGACAGTGGGGGAGGAGATGGGAAGGGATGGGATTTCTGGGTCCCAGAGCGGGTGGGATACTCACGCACAGCTTCTTCACTGGTGGGGGGTGGGGCACACATTATTTCTCACTGGTCATGATTTACAAGAAGAAAAATAAAACTGCTTTTGGAACCACAAACTTGTGAAGGCTGTTGAGGGCCAGGTTGGGGGTGCTGTCCCCTCACAACAGAAGCCCTGCTTTCTCTGCCCATCGCCTGCTGGAGATGCCTTCTGGACCCCAGTTCCTTGAGCCCCAGCTTTACCCCAGCTGAGGATGGGCAGTGCCATTGTTCATTGTTCTGGAACATTCTAGAACCTCCAGGCAAGGGCTGGAGCCAGGGCTGCAGAGCATTCCTCGGCTCAGCTGGGGCAGCGCCGCCCCATCCCCCAGTGGTCCTCATGTGGAGGCTGGCACTAGGCGGGGTTTTCCTGGCAGCCGCCCAGGCTTGTGTCTTCTGTCGCCTCCCAGCCCACGACTTGTCAGGCCGCCTGGCTCGGCTCTGCAGCCAGATGGAGGCCAGGCAGAAGGAATGTGGGGCCTCCCCAGACTTCTCGGCCTTTGCCTTAGGTAGGACCAGACATCCAGGGATGGGCCCAGCAAGCACTCACCCCCCTACCCCCAGAGGGTGGCATGTGACCTTCCAGCTGTGCCCTCCATCTGTGGCCCTTTCTGGACATGCTGGCCTTTCCCTCTGAGAGAGCTCCATATCTGGGAAAGTCAGGAGAGACCCCAGAACCTGGGCTGATGAGGGAATCGCTGGTCCTTGCCCATCTCCACAGATGAGGTGTCCATGAACAAAGTCACAGAGAAGACTCACAGAGTCCTGAGGGTCATGGGTGAGGTCAAGGGGAAAGAGTGACCTAGGGGCTTGGGAGGATACCAAGGAGAGGGACGGGTGACAGGGGTTGGGGTGGGCAGGGAAGGGTGGAGGGGTAGAGACAGGAGGGCTGATCAGGGAGGGGCTGCGTGAAGAGAGGGGGAACTGGCCCCGTCGAGGCCCAGGGAAACGGAGCTGCTGTCTGCCTCCCCAGAAATCAAAGAGGCTGTCTCCTCACTCCCTTCATATTGGAGTTGGCTTCGAAAGACCAAGCTCCCTGAGTACACCAGGGAAGGTACCGATGCGGGATGGGCCTCAAGGGGAGCCTAGGGTCTTAACCAAAGGAATGTGTGGTGAGCAGCTCATCCATTCACACCCCCACCCCTTCCTTGTCTTTCATTTCAGCTCTCTGTCCCCCCGCCTGCCGTGAGTAGGAAAGGAAAGGGGTAGCAAGGACCTGGGGCCTGCAGGGTGTCAGAGGAGGGCCTGGCAGCTGCAGGAGGAAGCTGGGTACCAGGCAGGGTGGAGGCCCGGCCTCCCCTCCCCAGCGTTGCCTCTGCTGTCTCCTGCAGGGGGCAGCACCACGCTGTACAACTGCTCCACCTGCAAGGGGACGGAGGTGTCCTGCTGGCCCCGAAAGCGCTGCTTCCCAGGTCCTCACGCCCATCTTGGCCCCGCCCCACCTTGCCCAGATCCCTGAGCCCTTGGGCTCCCAAGTCGGTGCGTGTGGGTCCCAGAATCATTCACTGCCTCCTGGGTTCCCTGCAGGAAGTCAGGATCTTTGGGAAGCCAAGATTCTGCTCCTCTCCATCTTCGGAGCTTTCCTGCTTCTGGGTGTTCTGAGCCTCCTGGTGGAGTGAGTTTTGGGATAAAGACAGGAATCCTACCCCGCCCAGTGCCTTCCACCACCCATCCTCCCTCCCTCTGTCCCTCCCAGGCCCCTCCCGTAGGCTTCCCACCCTCGTCTTCCCTCAGGTCCCACCACCTCCAAGCAAAAAGTGGCTTGTGAAGACGCTGAAAACCTCCCAGCCTCCAGCTCTAAGGGGTATGCACTCACAACTTCCACATCCCTTGGAGGGGAACCAGTCAGCCCCTTAGTCCCAGCTCCAAAGACAGTCTCCAGACCCTAAAACCCAGACATCCCTGCTTCTGGTTGGTGAGATAATGAAAAACAAGAAAATCCCCAAAAACCCAGATCCCCCACAATCCCAGTGTCAGATGGCCTCCCGGGAACCCAGGCACCCACAGCTGGAAAGTTCCTCCCCTCCAGCCCTCAACCAATCACATGGCTGTCAACAATGCCAGGAAAATATCTACAGAAGGAAAGAATCCCCTACGCCACTCCCACCACACCCACACCCCCTTCTGCCTGTTCCGGGAAAGCGGGGGCATCTGCCCCAGAAGCTATTCCAGGCCCTCCTATGACTGATGGGGAATCCGGGAATGCATGTTCTGGAAAACTCACCCCACTAGAGTGAGATCACATCAGTGGGTTCGCGGGCATGCCCTCCCTCCATCGTGTTAACAGTTTGAAATCCTGGCCTCCCTCAGAGGCCTCCATCCTGCCAGGCCTAAGTAAAACTTGCTGTTCATGGCCTCTGCCCCTGCCTAGCCTCTGTCTGCAACTGGGGAGGGCAGAGGAAGGATGGGAGACTCTCAGAGTAGCACAGTGCTTCTCAGATGGGGGTGATTTTGCACCCCAGTAGACATTTTGCAACATCTGGAGTCGTTTTGGATTGTTTTAACTGGGGGGACGTGCTACTGGCCTCTGGTGGGTAGAGGCTAGAGATGTTGCTAAACATCCCACAACACACAGGAAAGTCCCCACAGCAAAGAATTATCCCGTCCAAAATGTCAGTGTTTACCAGGAAAGGGAGATAGGAGAAAAAAAAAAAGAAAAGAAGAAAAAGAAGAAGGAGGAGGAGGAGAAGAAGAAGAAGAAGAAGAAGAAGAAGAAGAAGAAGAAGAAGAGGAAGAAGAAGAAGAAAGAAAGAAAAGAAAGAAACAAAATGTCAGAGCATGGTTGAGAAACCCTGGTGTTTTGTCCCCTGCCTATCAGGAGTTTTTGGTTTGGGAATGGAACGTGGGACATGGAACATGAGAAGAGAGGCCTGTTGCCAACCACAAGGCACAGTCTGAGTGCCTAGGCCTGGCAGGGATTCCAGCCCTTACCTAGCCCAGGGGTTTTCAAACTGGGTACCTCGAGGCTCCAGGGTAAGCGTTCTCAGCCAGCTGCATATCAGAACCACCTGGGCAGCCTTAAAACTAGCTGTGCTTTGGCCCCAGCTCCAGAGATTCTGGAATAAGTGGTCCTATATGGGGCCTTGGTTACTGTAACCCACAGCCAGGGTTAGAATCATTGTTTGGGGTACCCAGAGAGGTCCTAAGGATGGGTAGAAGAACTCCTACCCCTTCCACGGTAGTACCTCTCTCTCTCTCTCTTTTTTTTTTTTTTTTTTTTGAGACGGAGTTTCGCTCTTGTTGCCCAGGCTGGAGTGCAATGGCGCGATCTTGGTTCACTGCCACCTCCACCTCCCGGGTTCAAAAGATTCTCCTGCCTCAGCCTCCCAAGTAGCTGGGATTACAGGCACCCGCTACCACGCCTGGCTAATTTTTGTATTTTTAGTAGAGATGGGGTTTCACTATGTTGGCCAGGCTGGTGGCGAACTCCTGACCTCATGTGATCCACCCACCTCAGCCTCCTAAAGTGCTGGAATTAAGGTGTGAGCCACTGCACCCAACCGTACCTCGCCCTTTTTTTTCAATATATATATTTTAAAAATTTAAAAATTATTATTATTATTTTGAGACAGAGTCTCATTCTGTTGCCCAGGCTGGAGTGCAGTGGCATGATCTCAGCTCACTGCAAACTCTGCCTCCTGGGTTCAAGTAATTCTCCTGCCTCAGCCTCCTGAGTAGCTGGGATTACGGGTGCCTGCCACCATGCCTGGCTAATTTTTGTATTTTAGTAGAGATGGGGTTTCCCTATGTTGGCCAGGTTGGTCTCAAACTCCTGACCTCAGGTGATCTGCCTGCCTCGGCCTCCCAAAGTGCTGGGATTACAGGCATGAGCCACCACACCCAGCCGATTTTTAAAATTAAAAAAATATATATATATATTAAGAGACAAGGTTTCACTATGTTGACCAGGCTGGTCTCAAACTCCTGGCCTCAAGCAGTCCTCTTGCCTCAGTCTTCTAAGTTGTTGGGATTACAGACATGAGCCACTGCATTCAGCCAAGTATCTCTCTTTTTGTTTTACACATTCAATTCCAATCCCTTCATATAACACATGAAAAAAATGAGACCCAGAGATCATGTAAGATCATATAACTTGTCCAAGATCATACAACTCATTCATTCATTCATTTGACAAAGACTTAGTGAGTATCCACCCACCAAGAGGGATGGGAAGCCACATTTCCTGCCTGCTCTGGACGGCAGTAGGTGCCCGTACCCTCCCCTGCTGTCCCCTCTTTCCAGGTTCAACATTTTGGAGCCATCCTTGTTTTCACAGTCAATATTCAGGAGGCCAACCAGTCCTGCCCATTTCTTTCTTCCTTCCTTCCTTCCTCCCTCCCTCCCTTTCTTTCTTTCTTCCTTCCTTTCTTTCTTTCTATTTTTTTTTTTTTTGAGACAGAGTCTCGCTGCGATGCCCAGGCCGGACTTCTGTGGCGCGATCTTGGCTCACTGCAACCTCCACCTTCCAGGTTCAAGCAGTTCTCCTGCCTCAGCCTCCCAAGTAGCTGGGATTACAGGCAACGCCATCATGCCTGGCTAATTTTTTTAGTACTTTTAGTAGAGACGGGGTTTCACCATGTTGGCCAGGCTGGTCAGGAACTCCTGACCTCGAGTGATCCGCCCGCCTCGGCCTCCCAAAGTGCTGAGCCACCATGCCCGGCCAGTCCTGCCTATTTTTCAAGGATCTCTATCCTGTCTGTCCCATCCTTCCATAGCCCCAGCCCACCCAGAACCCTCTCACAGTGGATCCCAGTCTCCCAGAGGCGCCACCAGGCTGCCTGCTCTCCTGGAATGCTCTTCACCCTCAGCGGCCGCGCTGGCCTCCCTGAAAACTCCACACTGCTCACGACCCCCAGCCCCACATCAAATGATGATTAAGAATTTGGGCTTTGGAGTTGGGCTGCCTGGTTTCAATCAAATCCTGGCTTTGTCTCTTACTGGACCGTGGGCAAGTTATTTAACCTCTCTGTGCCTGTTTTCTCTATTTTATTTATTTATTTATTTATTTATTTATTTATTTATTTATTTATTTATTGAGATGGAGTCTCGCTCTGTCGCCCAGTCTGGAGTGCAGTGGCGCGATCTCCACTCACTGCAACCTCTGCCTCCCTAGTTAAAGCGATTCTCCTGCCTCAGCCTCCCAAGTAGCTGGGACTACAGGCTCCCAGCACCACGCCGGGCTAATTTTTTATATTTTTAGTAGAGACGGGTTTTCACCGTGTTAGCCAGCATGGTCTCGAACTCCTGACCTCAGGCGATCCGCCCGCCTCGGCCTCCCAAAGTGCTGGGATTACAGGTGTGAGCCACCACACCTCGCCTCCTCATCTTTTAAATGCAGTAAATGTATTTTATTGACTCTATATAACGTTTTTAATCTGTTTACATTTGAACATCTCTGAAGTCAGAATGCATCTTAAACTGAAGGTATGCCATGGCTTAGTGGATAGTATTTTTTTCTTAGCAGTATATAACATAATGGTATATCAGCAGGGCACGGTGGCTCACACCTGTAAAACCGGCACTTTGGGAGGCTGAGGTGGGTGGATTGCTTGAGGTCAGGAGTTCAAGACCAGCCTGAAAAACATGGTGAAACTCCATCTCTACTAAAAATACAAAAATTAGCCAGGAGTGGTAGCAGGTGCCTGTAATCCTAGCTACTCAGGAGGCTGAGGCAGAGGAATCACTTGAACCCGAGAGGCAGAGGTTGCAGTGAGCTGAGATCACGCCACTGTACTCCAGCCTGGGCAGTAGAGCAAGATTCCATTTCAAAAAAATAATAATAAAAAATTTAAATATTAAAAAATAAAATAATAGTATATATTACAATTGATATATTAAAATTCGTGATAAATTCAATGAAATGCAGTAGTAGTTACCTTATGGGATTGCTGTGAAGTCTAAATAAGCTAATATAAAATGCTTGAGGCCAAGCACAGTGGCTTACACCTGTAATCCCAGCATGTTGGGAGGCCGAGGCAGGAGGATCGCTTGAGCCCAGGGGTTTGAGACCAGCCTAGGCAACATAGTGAGACCCCCATCTCTACAAAAAAAAATTTAAATTAGCTGGGTGTGTCAGCCGGGCGAGTGGCTCACGCCTGTAATCTCAGCACTTTGGGAGGCCAAGGCGGGTGAATCACGAAGTCGGGAGTTCGAGACCAGCCTGACCCACATGGTGAAACCCCGTCTCTACTAACAATACAAAAATTAACTGGGCATGGTGGCACATGCCTGTAATCCCAGCTACTTGGGAGGCTGAGGCAGGAGAATTGCTTGAACCCAAGAGGCGGAGGTTGCAGCAAGCCGAGATCGCGCCACTGCACTCCTGCCTGGGGGATGAGCAAGACTTCGTCTCAAAAAAAAAAAAAAAAAAAAAATTAGCTGGGTGTGATGGCGCATGCCTGTGGTCCCAGCTACTCAGGAGGCTGAGGTGAGAAGATCGCTTGAACCCAGGAGGTCAAAGCTGAAGTGAGCTGACATCACACCACTGCACTCCAGCTTGGGTGACAGAGTGAGACCCTGTCTTAAAAAAAAAAAAAAGAAAGAAACACAAACTCCTCCAACCTCTCATGCCACATGCTCAGGAAGAGCTTACTAGAGGAATTTATATCACAAGGGTTCAGAGAAGGGGCTGGGGTTGTCAAGGACATACCCTGGAGTCTGCCATGTGCCAAACACTGTGGAAACAAAGATAAAAAACCACTAGGTGGGTAGGCACGGTGGCTCATGCCTGTAATCCCAGACTTTGGGAGGCCAGGGTGGTTGGATCACCTGAGGTCAGGAGTTCGAGACCAGCCTGGCCAACATGGTGAAACCACATCTCTACTAAAAATACAAAAATTAGCCAGGTGTGGTGGCAGGTGCCTGTAATCCTAGCTACTCTGGAGGCTGAGGCAGTAGAATCGATTGAACCCAGGAGTAGGAGGTTGCAGTGAGCCAAGATTATGCCACTGCACTCCAGCCTGGGTGATGGAGCGAGACTCGGTCTCGAAAACAAACAAACAAACAAACAAAAAACCTGTTAGCTGGTGGTTTAATAGGGCAGGGCATGGTTTGGAGGGAAGATGGATTGGTAAAGAAACACCACCACCTTGATGTGACACAGCTGAGGGATGTCTAGAGAAGGGACACCCCCAGGGGCTCAGAGAAGGATTCTCAGAAGAGGTTGTGCCTGAGCCAAAGGAGAAAGACATCCCAGGTATAAGGACAAGCCTGGGCAATGACAGATGAAAAAGCAGGAGGTGTTTGGGCAGCTACAGGTGATTCAGTATGGCCGTGGGGGGTGCGTTGGGTGGGCAGTGCTGAGAGATAAAGCCGCAGGGACATGTGGGGGCCAGATTCCAGGAAGTATTACACAGGTAGATCACTTGCTTACTGATGAGAAGTGGGCATGTGGGCATGGCAGGAAGAGAAGAAGGAAGAGAATGTCCAGGGTACAGTTGGCGCTGCCACGAAGCTCCAGAGAGGTCACAGAGAAGTGATGGGCTCAGGGAGGAAGGTGAGCTTGAACATATGGAATCTGAGATGCCCGGGCAGGGGCATTCAAGTGGAGATTCCAGGTAGGGCTACCTTTGAACAGCTCTGGCCTGAGGAGCAGATATAACAAGTGGGAGCTGCTGATGGAAAGCCTGGAATGTCAGGGTAAATAGAGGCCAGGCCGGGCGCGGTGGCTTACGTCCGTATCCCAGCACTTTGGGAGGCTGAGGCGGGCGTATCACCAGGTCAGGAGATCAAGACCATCCTGGCTAACACGGTGAAACCCTGTCTCTACTACTAAAATACAAAAAATTAGCCGGGTGTGGTGGCACGTGCCTGCAGTCCCAGCTACTCAGGAGGCTGAGGTGGGGGAATCGCTTGAACCCGGGAGGCGGAGGTTTCAGTGAGCTGAGATCACGCCACTGCACTCCAGCCTGAAGATAGAGCAAGACTTCGTCTCAAAAAAAAAAAAAAAAAAAGCCAGGTCTATAAACTGCAGGCAAGGAAGAGAGCTAGGGCATGTCTTTTTTTTTTTTTTTTTTTTTTTTTTTTTGAGATAGAGTCTCACTTTGCTGCCCAGTCTGGAGTGCAATGGAGTGATCTCGGCTTACTGCCACCTCTGCCCTCCGGGTTCAAGCGATTCTCCTGCCTCAGCCCCCCAAGTAGCAGGGACTGCAGGTGTGCACCACCATACCCGGCTAATTTTTATATTTGCAGTAGAGACAGAGTTGCACCATTTTGGCCAGGCTAGTCTCGAACTCCTGACCTCAGGTGATCCTCCCACCTTGGCCTCCCAAAGTGCTGGGATTACAGATGTGAACCAGTGCGCCCGGCCAGGCATATATTTAAACAAGATATTATAACAGCTAATGCTGAGTGAGTGCCAGTATATGTGGGACACAGTCCCAAGCATTTTATTTATTTATTTATTTTTTGAGACAGGGCCTCACTCTGTAGCCCAGGCTGGAGTGCACTGGTGCAATCACAGCTCACTGCAGCCTTGGCCTCCCCGGTTCAAGCAATCCTCCTACCTTAGTCTCCCAAGTAGCTGGACTATGGGCACATGTCACCACGCCCAGCTATTTTGAAATTTTTTTGTAGAGACTATCTCACTATGTTGCTCATTCTGGTCTTGAACTCCTGAGCTCAAGTGATCCGCCCACCTCAGCCTCCCAAATTGTTGGGATTACAGGCGTGAGTCACCGCACCGGGCCTGTGTTTCTTTCTGTGCACATAAAGCCAGCCCACTGGAATATGGTCTACAGGGCTGGTATTTCTGAGCACCTCCCAAACAAGGGAGGCTGCTGTGGGTGCAGAAACATTTTTAAGTGGCCCCCAAATCCTCTCTGACCTGCCTTCCATGGAGAGGCAGATTCTATGGATCCTTCCCTTGAATCTGGGCTCTGTGTCTGGCTGACCAATGGAATGTGGGAGAAGTGACACTGCTCCACTTTCTGGGCCCACGCCTTAAGGAACTGGCACCTTCCACTCTCTGTCTCTTGGGGACTCACTCTGGAACCTAGTCACCATCTCTGAGGAAGCCCAGACTTCAGGAAGAGTCCATATGAGGGGTCCCAGCCAAACGCCAGCATCTCCTGCCACACATATGAGTGATATTACAGCCCCCAGATGTCCAGTTACCCCCAGACTTTTATTTTTCCAAGACACCAGATATTGTAAAGCAGAGATTAACCCCACAGTGTCCTGCTGGAATTCCTGACTCAAGAAGTCCAGGGCAATGATCAAACAGTGTGTTTTTTTTGTTTGTTTTGTTTTTTTGAGACGGAGTCTCGCTCTGTCTCCCAGGCTGGAGTGCAGTGGCACAATCTTGGCTCACTGCAACCTCCGCCTCCCAGGTTCAAGCAATTCTCCTGCCTCAGCCTCCCGAGTAGCTGGGCCTACAGGTGCCTGCCACCACGACTGGCTACATTTTTTTGTATTTTTAGTAGAGATGGGGTTTCACCGGGTTAGCCAGGATGGTCTCGATCTCCTGACCTCGTGATCTGCCCACCTTGGCCTCCCAAAGTGCTGGGATTACAGGCGTGAGCCACCACGCCCGGCCCAAACAGTGTTTTTTATGCCACTAGGTATTATTTCTTCAAAACAGATAGTTGGTTCAGTGGGACAGAAAAAGGAGCCTAGGACATGGCACTAAATGTCTTGGGTTTATGACACGGCTGGCCGGGTCCATCCTAGCCATGTGCACGGGGGGATATTACTTCAGCAACCTAAGCCTCAGTCCTCCTGCCTGCAAAATGGAGTTAATGATAACTAATGTGTACGGTGACAGCGTGTCAGACAGTCTAAGCAGTTTTTTTTGGAGACGGAGTCTCGCTCTGTCACCCAGGCTGGAGTGCAGTGGTGCGATCTCGGCTTACTGTAACCTCTACCTCCCAGGTTCAAGCGATTCTTCTGCCTTAGCCCCCGAGTAGCTGGGATTACAGGCACCTGCCACCATGTCCGGCTAACTTTTGTATTTTTAGTAGAGACAGGGTTTCACCATGTTGGCCAGGCTGGTCTCGAACCCCTGACCCCAAGTGATCCTCCCGCCTTGGCCTCCAAGGTGCTGGGATTGCAGGCATGAGCCTCCATGCCCGGCTTTCAGTGTCCTCTTGACATGGTGGCTGGCTTCCCCCAGAGGGAGTGATCCAAGAGAGCCAGACAGAAGCCATGCTGCCTTATACGGCTTGTCTCAGAAGTCACTCACCATCCCTTCTGGGGATCCCACTGGTTACACTGATGAGCCCCATTCATTGTGGGAAGGTACTATGGGAATCCCAATGATTACACTGATGAGCCCCATTCATTGTGGGAAGGGACTATACAACAGGAGGAATACCCGGAGGGGTGTTGCAGCCGCAGCCACTTTGGAGGCTGGTTACCGCACATGTGGACACAGTTACTTCTCCAATAACCCCATAAAGTAGATGCTCCTCATAGACATATGTTGTAGATGAGGAAACAGAGGTACAGAAATGAGAAGTAACTTGTTCAGATTCACAGTCTTTTAAGTGGTAAAGCTGGATAGAACACAGGCAGGCAGATCCAGCGTTGAGGCCTAAGTCACTGTGCTGTCAAGCATCTCAGATGCACTGTGAGCCTGAAGGAACATGGTGGGCACGAGAGAGCTTCCACTTTGGAAAGCAAAACAGCAGATATGTACAAGGGGTTGCGCTGATGATTGTAAACACAAGTGAAGCAAATGCAAATTGGGAAAGGATGGATGGGAACTCAGGGTCCTAGGAGATGAAGTTGGGGTGACAGAACAGGAAGGGTGGGCCGGGCGCAGTGGCTCACGCCTGTAATCCCAGCACTTTGGGAGGCCGAGGTGGGTGGACCACGAGGTCAGGAGATCGAGACCATCCTGGCTAACACGGTGAAACCCCGTCTGTACTAACAGTACAAAAAATTAGCCGGGCGTGGTGGCGGGCGCCTGTAGTCCCAGCTACTCGGGAGGCTGAGGCAGGAGAATGGTGTGAACCCGGGAGGCGGAGCTTGCAGTGAGCCTAGACCACACCACTGCACTCCAGCCTGGGTGACAGAGTGAGACTCCATCTCAAAAAAAAAAAAGAACAGGAAGGGTGTACCCAAGGGTCTGGGAAGAGCTGACTGCGCAGGGCCAGGGAGTACCAAAGTGGGAGGGCCTCATGGATGGGTTCAGAAGAAGAGTGCTTATTGGTGAGGTTTGGAGATTGCCATTCCCATCACTTCCGGCACAGGAGCTCTTAATTACAAACCTCTCCTTTGCTTCACTCAATTCAGATGACTCTGTCTCATCCATTCGTTCAGGAAATGTCACTGAGCACGTAGCATGTAAGTCAGGCGATAGACTGAACGGGGGAGACATAATAATGGCCGGGCAAGATAAGGTCCTTGGCTACCTGGAGCTTAGAGTCTAGCAGGGGAGACAAGTTACTGGCAAATTCTACCAGAGTGATGAGTGCAATGACAGGAAAGCACGGGGGACTTGAGGTGCAGAGGAAGACACCAGAGCAGTCAGGGATAGGTGTTTTTTTTGTTTTGATTTGTTTTTTTGAGACAGAGCCTCACTCCGTCATCCAGGCTGGATTGCAGTGGCACGATCTCGGCTCACTGCAACTTCTGCCTTCCAGATTCAAGTGATTCTCCTGCCTCAGCCTCCTGAGAAGCTGGGATTACAGGCGCCCGCCACCATGCCCAGCTAATTTTTTTTTTTTTTTGAGATGGAGTCTTGCTCTGTCACCCAGGCTGGAGTGCAGTGGCGCGATCTCGGCTCACTGCAACCTCTGCCTCCTGGGTTTAAGCGATTCTCCTGCTTCAGCCTCCAGAGTAGCTGCGATTACAGGCACACGCCACCATGCCCAGCTAATTTTTGTATTTTTAGTAGAGACGGGGTTTCACCATGTTGGCCAGGCTGGTCTCGAACTCCTGACCTCAGGTGATCCACCCACCTCAGCCTCCTAAAGTGCTGGGATTACAGGCGTGAGCCACTGCGCCCGGCCAGGGATAGGTGTCTTGCATTTAGCAAGTGAGACAAGAGTAGGCCAGATTGGGAAGACTTTTCTCAGCAGAGGGAACAGCCATGCAGAGGCTCAGGGGAGAGCGAGCCAAGATGCTGAGGTGCTTTCCCCTGTTGAAAGCCTGGCTTGTGGATGGTGGAAGGGGGAGAGCTGGGTGATCTCAGGATCAGAGCAGGGAAGGAGAAGCTAAGGAGGTACCAATGTAGTTCCTCACTGGCATGGAGAGGCCTCTGCACAGGAATGGGCCTCACTCAACCTGTGCTTCTCCCATCCCACCCCCATCCAAGGTGGTGAGGGCAGCCAGGCAGCCGAGTACCCTCTCTGCTTATCTTCCCCTGTAGGGGAAGAATTGGCCCTGCTGCTGTGAATGTGGTCCTCATTCCCAGATGCAGAGCCTGCGGGGCAGGGCAGAGGTTAGGGAAGGGCAGTTGGAGTGGGCGGTGCCCCATCTGGGTCTCCAGGTTTAAGTGTTAATGGGTGCTGCATTCCAGCCTGAAGGAGATGCTCCCTAACAGCGATTAGGATGGCCGGGCTGTGCTTCCCCTACATCCCACCCTCTTTATGGGCAAAGGTGGGGATGGGAGAAACTTAAATCCAAAAGTAAAAAATAGGCCGGTGCGGTGGCTCACGCCTGTAATCCCAACACTTTGGGAGGCTGAGGCAGGTGAGGTCAAGAGTTCAAAACCAGCCTGACCAACACGGTGAAACCCCGTCTCTACTAAAAATACAAAAATTAGTCTGGCATGGTGGCAGGTGCCTGTAGTCTGAGCTACTTGGGAGGCTGAGGCAGGAGAATCGCTTGAACCTGGGAGGTAGAGGTTGCAGTGAGCTGAGATCATGCCACTGCACTCCAGCCTGGGTGACAGAGCGAGACTCCATTTGGAAAAAAAAAAAAAGTAAGAAATAAACAGGAAGAAGGGGAGAAATAAAAAGTCTTCTAGGCCAGGCATAGTGGCTCACGCCTGTAATCCTAGCACTTTGCGAGGCCGAGACGGGTGGATCACCTGAGGTCAGTAGTTCAAGACCAGCCTGGCCAACATGGCGAAACCCCGTCTCTACTAAAAATACAAAAAATATTAGCCAGGTATGGTGGTGCAATGCCTGTAATCCCAGCTACTCGAGAGGCTGAGGAAGGAGAATCGCTTGAACCCAGGAGGTGGAGGTTGCAGTGAGCCAGGCGCAACAGGAGCGAGACTCCATCTCAAAAAAAAAAAAAAAAAGGCTTCTAATTCCCTGGATTTTTTTTCCCAAGCCCAAGCTAAAAGCATGCTTGAGTCTCCGCCTCCGGTTTCCTGCTGGGGCAAGATAGGGTGAAGGGGACCTGAGCCTGGAGTCCAACCCACGGTGCCCCGTCTCCTCGGCCTCCCCTCCATCTGTGATGCTGTGATATAATAAGAAATATATATTTGATATTTACCCTGGTCTCTGGCACAGAGCTCCTGTAACCCTTGGAATTTCCTGAGTGACAGTGGTGCCAGGAGCATCTGTTGTTATTCATAAGCCCCTTTCAACCATACCTGAGCTGATGCTGATGGGGTGACTCTTGGAGGATGGGGGCTGGTTGCCAGAGGAACCAACCATGTGATTAGAGGGTTGGAACTTTCAACCCCCTCCCCAGCCTCCACGTAGCGGGGAGTAGCTGAAGAGTGAGTTCAATTACCAAGGCCGATGATTTAATCAATCATGCTACATAATGGAGCTTCTATAAAAACCCCAAACAATGGAGTTCAGAGAGTTTCCAGGTCGGAGAAGGCTTGGAGGCGCTGGGAGGATGTCATGCCCAGAGAGGGCACGGAAGCTGCATACCCCTCCTGCAAACCTTGCTGGAAGCAACTCATCCACCTGGTTATTCATCTGTATCCTTTGTGATGTAATTTCCTTCCTCCCTCCCTCCCTCCCTTCCTTCCTTCCTTCTTTCTTTCCTTCCTTCCTTCTTGACAGAGTCTCACTCTGTTGCCCAGGCTGGAGTGCAGTGGTGCGATCTTGGCTTACTTCAGCCTCCGCCTCCTGAGTTCAAGCGATTCTCCTGCCTCAGCCACCTGAGTAGCTGGGATTACAGGCATGTGCCACCAGGCCTGGCTAATTTTTGTATTTTTAATAGAGATGGGGTTTCACCATGTTGGCCAGGCTAATCTCGAACTCCTGACCTCAAGTGATCTGCCCGTCTTGGCCTCCCAAAGTGCTAGGATTACAGGTGTGAGCCACTGCGGCTGACCTTTTTTCCCAGCTAATTTTTGTATTTTTTGTAGAGACGTGGTTTCACCATGTTGCCCAGGCTGGTCTCAAGCTCCTGAGCTCAAGCCATCTGCCCACCTCGGCCTCCCAAAGTGCTGGGATTACAGGCGTGAGCCACCCTGCCTGCCCTGTAATATCCTTTAAAACAAACTGGTAAATGTAAGTAAATGTTTCCCTCAGTTTTGTGAGCCATTCTATCAAATTATTCAACCCAAGGTAGGGGTCGTGGGGACCCCTGAGTTCTAACTGGTCAGTGAGAAGGACAGAAGGCTCGGAGGAGCAGTTGGCATCTGAAGTCAGGGGCAGTCTGTGAGAATGAGCCCTTAAATAGGGGTCTGCACTAACTAGGTACTGAGTGCCAGAACCGAATTAAATTATAGGACACCCAGTTGATGTCTGCAGAGAATTGGAGAATTGCTTGGCACGGGGAAAAAACCCACACATCTGGTGTCACAATGGTATGTGAGAGTATTAAAATATGTTTTTTTTTTCCTTTTTATCACTCCATAAGCAGGGCCTCAGCAGGCCAGTCTCACTCTCCTAATCCAGTCGTCAGTGCCCCTCCGCTTTACCTCCTGCTTCCCCCTCGCCCTCTCCCGGTCTCCACAGCAGGCTGATTCTGTCACTCCCCTGTGTAAGACAACTCCTCAGAGCCCTCAGGTAAGGCCCAAGCTCCTTACCATGTTCTGCAGGCCCTCTAGAATGAAGCTCCCCTGGGGGAGATTGTGTCTGCTTGTTCACCTGGGTTCCCAGAACCTGGCACGGAGTAGAGACTCAGTCAAAGTTTGCTAGAGGGATGAATCAATGCCTGCTCCGGCTCCCGCCTCTCTGGCTACATCTGCCTTCATCTCTCCCCATGTGCCCTAGCCTCACGTTCATTCAATTCTCAGATGACCTCTAGTACTTCCCAGAGTACACTGGGTGTTCAAAGGAAAGTCAGATTTCACATGATCTTCCCTGAAGAAGCTCATGGAAAGACTGTGTTTTTCCTACCAAGAACTTGGACTTTGCTCATTCCATCCCTTCAGCCTAGAAGGCTTAGCAACATCTGACCTGTCCTTCAGGGCTCAGCTCAAGTGCTACTACCTATTTATTTATTTATTTGAGACAGAGTTTTGCTCTTTTCACCCAGGCTGGAGCGCAGTGGTGCAATCTCGGCTCACTACAACCTCCGCCTCCCAGATTCAAGCGATTATCCTGCCTCAGCCTCCTGAGTAGCTGGGATAACAGGTGCCCGCCACCACACCCGGCTAATTTTTATATTTTTAGTAGAGACAGGGTTTCACCATGTTGACCAAGCTGGTCTCGAACTCCTGACCTCAGGTGATCCACCCACCTCGGCCTCCCAAAGTGCTGGGATTGCAGGTGTGAGCCACCTTGCCTGGCCATTTCTGCCTCTTTCTTGAAGTCTGCCTTCATGGTTTTATTCAGCCCAGTGAGAACATTCACCCACTTCTTTGCATTCCCAAGGCCCCCTCAGTTCTTCCTTACATGAGAGCTACTGCTTTCATTAATTATTTTATGGACTTATTCACCTAATAACATGTACTGAGAACCTGCTTTGGACAGTACTCGTTGTGCGCAGCTGCAGTCCTAGCTCCTTGGAAGGCTGAGGCGGGAGGATCGCATGCTAATTTGTAAACCCACTGCAAGGTAAGGAAGCTGAACTGAGACTCCTGCATTAATCTGGGACTCCTGAAAGAAGCTAAAACTGTCTCAAGTTGTTTGCAACCTCTGGCATCTGGCAGAAGCAAATGAAATTTCTCTCTGGAGTAAAACATCTCAAATTTAGGCACTTGGAATTCCTACAGATTAAGATCAATAAAATATAATATTAAACTGTGTACAGTGGTACATACCCATAGTCCCAGCTACTCGGGAGGCTGAGGAGGAGGATCCCTGAAGCCCAGGAGCTTGAGACTGCAGGACACTATAATTGTGCCTGTGAATAGCCACTGCCCTTTAGCCTGGGCAACATAGCAAGACCTATCTCTAAGAGAAAATAAAATATAATAAAATGTAATATAATTTCACAATCATAGACACACAAGGAAACAATCCACCGTGAATGAGAGTCAGCAGAAACAATGACTATAAATTTAGATCTGTAAGGATATTAAAAATTGGAATAAAAACAAAACTATGAATGAAGAATTAAAGAAAATGTGGAGACCGGGCGCAGCGGCTCACACCTGTAATCCCAGCACTTTGGGAGGCCAAGGCAGGTGGATCACACGGTCAGGAGACCGAGACCATCCTAGCTAACATGGTGAAACCCCATCTCTACTAAAAAAATACAAAAAAATTAGCTGGGCATGGTGGCAGGCACCTGTAGTCCCAGCTGCTTGGGAGGCTGAGGCAGGAGAATGGCTTGAACCCGGGAGTGCAGAGCTTGCAGTGAGATGAGATTGCGCCACTGCACTCCAGCCTGGGCAACAGAGCAAGACTCCCCCTCAAAAAAAAAAAAAAAAGAAAAGAAAATGTGGAATAGGCCAGGCATGGTGGCTCATACCTGCAATCTCAGCTCTTTGGGAGGCCGAGGTAGGAGGATTGCTTGAGCTCAGGAGTTTAAGACCAGCTTTGACAATATAATGAGACTCCATCTCTACTTATTTAAAAAAAAAAAAAAAAGGGCCGGGCGCGGTGGCTCACACCTATAATCCCAGCACTTTGGAAGGCTGAGGTGGCGCATGCCTGTAGTCCCAGCTACTCAGGAGGCTGAGGCAGAAGAATCGCTTGAACCCAGGAGGCAGAGGTGGCAGTGAGCTGAGATCACGCAACTGCACACCAGCCCGGGTGACAGAGCGAGACTCCGTCTCAAAAAAAAAAAAAGGGCTGGGCGTGGTGGCTCACACCTGTAATCCCAGCAGTTTGGGAGCCCAAGGCAGGTGGATTACCTGAGGTCAGAAGTTCAAGACCAGCCTTGCCGAACATGGTGAAACCCCATCTCTGCTAAAAATACAAAAATTAGCCAGGCGTGGTGGCGCACACTTGTAATCCTTAGGAGGCTGAGGCACAAGAATCCCTTGAACCTGGGAGGCAGAGGCTGCAATGAGCGAAGATCATGCCACTGCATGCCAGCCTGGGAGGCAGAGTGAGACACTGTCTCAAAAAAAAAAACAAAAAAACACTCCCAAAACCAAAAAAAAAAAAAGAAAACAACAACCAAAAGAGAGAATGTGAAATGAAAAATGAGAAAGCAACAAGATCCCATCTATACAAAACTAAAAATAAAAAATTAGTTGGACATGGTGGTGCATGCCTGTAATCTGAGCTACTTAGAAAGCTGAGGTGAGAGGATCAATTGAGCCCAGGAGTTTGAGGCTGCAGTGAGCTATGATCACATCGCATCACTGTACTCTAGCCTGGGCCACAGAGCAAAACCTTGTCCAAAAAAAAAAAAAAGAAAGAAAGAAAAAAGAAAACAAAAAGAAAGCTGGGCACGGTGGCACACACCTGTGGTGTAGTCCCAGTTCCTCAGGAGGTTGATTTGAGGTGAGAGAATCATTTGTTGCCCAGGTTATTCTCAAACTCCTGGCCTCAAGCGATCCTCCCGCCTTGGCCTCCCAAAATGATGGGATTACAGGCATGAGCCACCATGCTGGGCCGAGTCCAGGAGTTTGAATCAGCCTGGGCTGGGCAACATAGCTCCTCTCTCTCTCTTTTTCTTTTTTTTCTTTGAAACAAGTTCTTGCTCTGTGGCCCAGGCTGGAGTGTGATGGCACCGTCATGGCTCACTGAAGCCTCAAATTCCTGGGCTCAAGCGATCCTCCCACCTCAGCCTCCCAACTAACTGGGACTACAGGTGCATGCAACCAGGCTTGACTAATTTTTAATTTTATTTTTGTAGAGACAGGGGTCTCACTATTTCGCCCAGGCTGGTCTTGAACTCCTGGCCTCAAGCAATCTTCCCACCTGGGCCTCCCAAAGTGCTGGGATTACAGGTATGACCCATCACACCCAGCCGAAACAATTAATTAATTACTATTTGGTTTTATTTGAGACAGGCTCTCGCTCTGTCGCCCAGGCTGGAATGCAGTGGCAGGATCTTAGCTCACTGCAATGTCCACCTCCTGGTTTCAAGCAATTCTGCTGCCTCAGCCTCCTGAGTAGCTGGGACTACAGGTGCTTGCCACTATGCCCGGCTAATTTTTGTTATGTTTTGTAGAGACAGAATTTCATCATGTTGCATAGGCTAGTCTCAAAATCCTAGGCTCAAGCGATCTTCCAGCCTCAGCCTCCCAAAAGTGCTGGGATTACAGATGTGAGCCACAGCTCCTGGCACAATTAATTAATTTTTTAAAAAATAATAAAGCAACAGAAGACTATAAAAGATGACCAGGGACATTAAAGAGACAAAAGTATCTTTGGCTGAAAAAATGACATGAAAAATGTAATTGCTGAAGTTTAAGAAAAACTCTTTTTTTTTTGAGACAGAGTCTCGCTCTGTCGCCCAGGCTGGAGTGCAGTGGCACAATCTCGGCTCACTGCAACCTCCACCTCCCAGGTTTAAGCGATTCTCCTGCCTCAGCCTCCCAAGTAGCTGGGATTACAGGCATGCGCCACCACACTCAGCTAATTTTCATATTTTTAGTAGAGACAGGGATTCACCATGTTGACCAGGCTGGTCTTGAACTCCTGACATCAGGTGATCCACCCACTCGGCCTCCCAAAGTGTGGGATTGCAGGCATGAGCCACCATGCCCAGCCCCCCAAAAATACTCTTAAATTGACACAAAAAGCACTAAAAGAAAAAAATGAATAAATTAGACTCCACCCAAATTTAAAACTTTTTATTTTCCAAAGACACTGTTAAGAAAATAAAAGGGGCTAGGCATGGTGGCTCACACCTGTATCTCAGCACTTTGGAAGGCCAAGGCGGGTGGATCACCTAAGGTCAGGAGCTCGAGACCAGCCTAGCCAACGTGGCAAAACCCCATCTCTACTAAAAATACAAAAATTAGCCAGGCATGGTGGGGTATGCCTGTAATCCCAGCTACTCAGGAGGCTGAGGCAAGAGAATCGCTTGAACCCGGGAGGCGGAGGTTGCTGTGCGCCAAGATTGCCCCACTTCACTCCAGCCTGGGCAAAAGAGTGAGACTCCGTCTAATAAATAAATAAATAAAGGTACATGGATGGCAAATAAGCACATGAAAAGATACTGAACACATTAATCATTAGACAAATGCAAAGTAAAACCACAATGATGGCTGGGTGCAGTGGCTCACGCCTGTAATCCCAGCACTTTGGGAGGTCAAGGCAAGTGGATCATCTGAAGTCAGGAGTTCAAGATTAGCCTGGCCAACATGGTGAAACTCCGTTGCTACTAAAAATACAAAAATTAGCTGGGCATAGTGGCACATGTCTGTAGCCCCAACTACTTGGGAGGCCAAGGCAGGAGGATCGCTTGTACCTGGGAGGCAGAGGTTGCAGTGAGCTGATATCATGTCACTGCACTCCAGCCTGGACTACAGAGCAGGACTCCATCTAAACAAACAAACAAAAAACCACAATGAGATATCACTATGGCACTGACTAGAATGGCTAAAATTAGAAAGTGTTGCTGAAGATGTAGAGCAACTGGAACTTTCATACTCTGCTGGGAAGACTTTGAAATGGTACAACCAGCTGGATGCAGCAGCTCACATGTGTAATCCCAGCATTTGGGGAGGCAGAGGCAGGAGGATTGCTTAAAGCCAAGAGTTTGAGACTAGCCTGGGCAACACAGTGAGACCTTATCTCTACTAAAAATTAAAAAAAAAATTAGCCAGGCATTGTGGCATGCACCCATGGCCTCAGGTACTTGGGAGGCTGAGGTGGGAGGATCATTTAAGCCCAGGAGTTTGAGGCTACAGTGAGCTATGATCATACCACTGCACTCCATCCTGGTTGATAGAGTGAGACTTTCTTGCTAAAAATAAATAAATAAATAGGCCGGGTGTGATGGCTCACACCTGTGATCCCAGCACTTTGGGAGGCCGAGGCGGGTGGATCATGAGGTCAGGAGATCAAGGCCATCCTGGCTAACACAGTGAAACCCCGTCTCTACTAAAAACACAAAAAAAATTAGCTGGGCCTGGTGGTGGGTGCCTGTAGTCCCAGCTACTCGGGAGGCTGAGGCAGGAGAATGGCATGAACCCAGGAGGTGGAGCTTGCAGTGAGCCGAGATCACGCCACTGCACTCTAGCCTGAGTGACAGAGCGAGACTCCGTCTCAAATAAATAAATAAATAAATAAATAAATAAATAAATAAATAGCCAGGCGCGGTAGCTCACACCCGTAATCCCAGCACTTTGAGAGGCTGAGGCGGGCAGATCACTTAAGGTCAGGAGTTCAAGACCAGCCTGGCCAACATGGCAAAACCCCATCTCTACTAAAAATACAAAAATTAGCTGGGTATGGTGGCTCGCACCTGTAGTCCCAGCTACTCGGGAGGCTGAGGCAGGAGAATCATTTGAACCCAGGAGATGGAGGTTGCAGTGAGACAAGATGGCACCACTTCACTCCAGCCTGGGCGACAGAGTGAGACTTTGTCTCAAAAAAATTTTTTCTTGGCCAGGCACGGTGGCTGACACCTGCACTTTGGGAGGCCGAGGTGGGTGGATCACCTGAGGTCAGGAGTTCGAGACCAGCCTGGTCAACATGATTAAACCCCGTCTCTACTAAAAATACAAAAAATTAGCTGGGCATGGTGGCACATACCTGTAATTGCAGCTACTCAGGAGGCTGAGGCAGGAGAATCGCTTGAACCCAGGAGGCAGAGGTTGCAGTGAGCCGAGATGGCACCACTGCACTCCAGCCTGGGCAACAAGAGCAAAACTCCGTCTCAAAAAAAACCTTTTTTTATTTTAATAAATAAATGAAATGAAATGGTAAAACCACTTTGGAAAACAGTTTTTTTGGTTTCTTAAAAAATTAAACATACCTGGCCAGGTGCGGTGGCTCACGCCTGTAATCTCAGCACTTTGGGAGGCCGAGGCAGGCGGATTATGAGGTCAGGAGATCGAGACCATCCTGGCTAACATGATGAAACCCCGTCTCTACTAAAAAATACAAAAAAAAATTAGCTGGGCATGGTGGTGGGCACCTGTAGTCCCAGCTACTTGGGAGGCTGAGGCAGGAGAACGGCATGAACCCGGGAGGCTGAGCTTGCAGTGAGCTGAGTTGGCACCACTGCACTCCAGCCTGGGCGACAGAGCGAGACTCTGTCTCAAAAAAAAAAAAAAAAATTAAACATACTAATTTTATGACCCAGACATTCCACTCCTAGGTATTTACCAAAGACAAAGGGAAACATATGTCCACACAAAGACTTAAAGAGAGTGGTCACAGCAGCTTTATTCATAATGGGCGAAAACTAGAAACAACCCAAATGTTTATCAACAGGTGAATGTATAAACAAATTATGATACATCCATACAATGGAATACTACTCGGCACTAAAAGGGGATGAATACTGATGATACATACAATATCATGAATGAATCTCAAAATAGTTATTCTGAGTAAAAGAAGGCAGGCAAAAAAGAATGCATACTGTAGGATTCTATTTACATAAACTTCTAGGAAATGCAAGCTAGTCTAGAGTGACAGAAACAGATCAGTGGTTGTCTGAGGAACGAGGGGCAGAAGAGATTACAAAGGGACATAAGGAAACTTTAGGGGTGGCAATATGTTCATTACTGTGGTTATGGTGATGGTTTCATGAGTGCACACATTTGTCAAAACTTATCAAATCACAAGCTTTAAATATGGGCAGTTTATTGAATGTCAATTATACCTCAATAAAGCTGTAAAAAAAAAACTCCAGTGGATAAAAATAATTCATATATCCATCATTAGGATACTAGATTTGAAAAGTAATATATTTATATAATGAACTACTACTTCATAATAAAAAATAACTACTAATATACACAACAGCATAGATGAATCTCAAAAAGATTATGGTGAGTGAAATAAGCCAAAAACAAAAAAACTGAATAAGCACTCCATTTATAAGATCTAGAGCAGGTAAAGTGATCATTGTTTTTTTTTTTTTTAATCCTTTTTGTGTGTGTGTGGGTGGGGGCGGGGTGAATGGAGTCTTACTCTGTCACCAGGCTGGAGTGCAGTGGTGCAATCTCAGCTCACTGCAGCCTCCGCCTCCTGGATTCAAGTGATTCTCCTGCCTCAGCCTCCCAAGTAGCTGGGATTACAGGCACATGCCACCATGCCCAGCTAATTTTTGTATTTTTAGTAGAGATGGGTTTTTACCATGTTGGCCAAGATGGTCTCGATCTCTTCACCTCATGATCCGCCCGGCCTCCCAAAGTGCTGGGATTACAGGTTGAGCCACCGAGCCCAGCATTTTTTTTTTTTTTTTTTTTTTTTGAGACAAAGCCTCACTCTGTTGCCCAGGCTGGAGTGCAGTGGCATGATCTCGGCTTACTGCAACCTCTGCCTCCCAGGTTGGAGCAATTCTCCTGCCCCAGCCTCCCACGTAGCTGGGATTACAGGCGCCTGCCACCATGCCTGGCTAATTTTTGTATTTTTAGTAGAGACAGGGTTTCACCATGTTGGCCAGGATGGTCTTGAACTCCTGACCTCAGGTGATCCACCTGCCTCGGCCTCCCAAAGTGCTGGGATTATAGGCGTGAGCCACCGCGCCCGGCCAGATCATTGGGTTTTAAAAATCAGAGTAGTAGTTCCTTCTGGGGGATGAAATTGACTAAAAATAGACACAAGGGAACTTTATGGGATGAAAGAAATGTTCTGGATCTTTAGCCACATTAATAGATGTGTACATTTGTTGAAATTCATCATATTATACAGTTAAATGTGTACATGTTACTGACTATAGATTATATCTCAGTAAAATAGTGTAATGAAGTAGAGTAGGGGCCGGGCGCGGTGGCTCATGCCTGGATTCCCAGCACTTTGGGAGGCTGAGACAGGTGGATCACGAGTTCCGGAGTTCAAGACCAGCCTGGACAATATGGTGAAATCCCGTCTCTACTAAAAAAATACAAAAATTAGCCAGGCATAGTGGCAGGCGCCTGTCGTCCCAGCTAATCAGGAGGCTGAGGCAGGCAACTGCTTGAACCCGGGAGGTGGAGGTTGCAGTAAGCCGAGATTGTGCCACTGCACTCCAGCCTGGGCGACAGAGAGACTCTGTCTCAAAAAAAAAAAAAAAGAAAGAAAGAAAGAGAGAGAGAAAGAAAGAGAGAAAGAAAGAAAGAAAGAAAGAAAGAAAGAAAGAAAGAGAAAGAAAGAAAAAGAAAAGTAGAGTAGGGCCAGGCATGATGATGGCCCACGCCTGTAATCCCAGCACTTTGGGAGGCCGAGGTGGGCAGATCACAAGGTCAGGAATTTGAGACCAGCCTGGCCAACATGGTGAAACCCTGTCTCTACTAAAAATACAAAAATTAGCTGGGCGTGGTGGTGCGGCTGTAATCCCAGCTACTCCAGAGGCTGAGGCAGGAGAATCGCTTGAAACCGGAAGGCGGAGGTTGCAGTGAGCCGAGATCGTGCCACTGTACTCCAGCCTGGGCAAAAGAATGAAACTCCGTCTCAAAAAAAAAAAAAAAAGAAAAGAAAGTAGAGTAATTTTCGGCCGGGCACGGTGGCTCACGCCTGTAATCCCAACACTTTGGGAGGCTGAGGTGGGCGGATCACCTGAGGTCAGGAATTCAAGACCAGCATGATGGCGGGTGCCTGTAATCACAGCTACTTGGGAGGCTGAGGCAGAAGAATCGCTTGAACCTGGGAGGTGGAGGTTGCAGTGAGCCAAGATTGCACCACTGCACTCCAGCCTGGGCTACAGAGCGAGACTTGTCTCAAAAAAAGGAAAAAAAGTAGAGTAATTTTTTTTTTTTCTCTGTCACCCAGGCTGGAGTGCAGTGGCACAATCTCGGCTCACTGCAAGCTCCACCTCCTGGGTTCACGCTATTCTCCTGCCTCAGCCTCCCGAGTAGCTGGGACTACAGGCGCCTGCCACCAGGCCCGGCTAATTTTTTTGTGTGTGTGTATTTTTAGTAGAGACGGGGTTTTCACCGTGTTAGCCAGGATGGTCTCCATCTCCTGACCTCGTGATCCACCCGCCTCAGCCTCCCAAAGTGCTAGGATTACAGGTGTGAGCCACTGTGCCTGGCCAAGTAGAGTAATTTTCATATGAGTATAACAACAACCAAAAAATAAAATTAAAAAACCCTTCCATGTAAGGATTAAACAGCACATCAGATGTAACCAAAGAGAGAATTAGTGAACTGGAAGACAGACTGGAAGAGATTACCTGAATGTATCACCAAGACACAAAGAGATGAAAGATACAGGAGACAGGTTAAAAGACACAGAGTACAGAATGAAAAGGTCTAGAACACTCCTAATCAGAGTTGGCAAAGGAGAGAGCACAGAGGACAGAGGAAAAATAATATCTGGATGGTTTCTGAGAACTTTCCAATATGATAAAATACGATAAAAGATGTGAATTC